>NC_000007.14:116143142-116446172 GCF_000001405.40 Homo sapiens
ATGGTGACCACTGGGACAATTGCCTTGAACCAGAGACAAAAATACATTTGAGAAGGACAGACCCAATCTACCAACAAATATACTGGTTGACCTTCAGGAGAAAAGATTCTACCAAGATCTTCAGACCACCTGCCTGACTTTGGACTATTCACACAAGAGAAAATAAACTCCTATCTTATCTGCACCTCTATACTATGAGATCTTTTTGATACAGAAGACCAGACTCCCCTAATCAATACAGAGAGGTTGTCATAACAGACCTTTATAAAAAATGCAGAATAAGCCAAGCAGAGGATATGAGGGTTAATAATTCTCATTCCAGGACGAAAAGCTGAATGAAGTGCAACATGAAAGGGACAAACATCAGTCCAGGGTTTCCCAGCTGGAAGTAGACAGAGAAAACATATTTAGTGAACTGAAATTGCTGAAGTCTAAATCAAGAAACTGAATAGATGTCTTTCCAAACTGAGTTCTGCACATCACCCCTTGCTGTGTATATGATTGATGCTTCTATAGGGAACTGCGGGATCCTAGCAATTAGAAAAGGATCTGGGAAGAGTCAGAGAAGTGAGGAAACACACTCTCCAGGTGCCTCCAGCAAGTCTCTGTCCCTACTCCTTCTGCAAACATATCACAATGCCCTTAATTATAATGTTTAGTACAGGTTTATGGGGAGAAGGGAAATCACAGAAGAGACTAGAGATGAAGGGCTCCCAGACATTCTTCATTTTCCTAGGTTTTTATAAACATTTATTGATTCTACTGACACTCAGCTATTAAGAAAAGGTAGAGCCTCGCCGAGCGCGGTGGCTCACACCTGTAATTCCAGCACTTTGGGAGGCCAAGGCAGGCAGATCACAAGGTCAGGAGATCGAGACCATCCTGGCCAACATGGTGAAACGCTGTCTCTACTAAAAATACAAAAATTAGCCAGGTATGGTGGCACACGCCTGTAATCCCAGCTACTCAGGAGGCTGAGGCAGGAGAATCGCTTGAACCCAGAGTCAGAGGTTGCAGTGAGCCAAAATTGTGCCACTGCACTCCAGCCTGGCAACAGAGTGAGACTCCATCAAAAAAAAAAAAATGAAACAAAGAAAAGGTAGAGCCTCAACACAATAACTCTAAGAAATATCACTCATCTAGGTATTTGGATTATTAAACTGAAGTATTCACAAGGCATAACCCAAAGGTTACAGGTTTTGGCAAACTGAATCATGTTAACTGAAATCGGCAGGCAGTCCACTAAAATTTTATAAGATTTGTGATTGTTAATTTTTTGTGTCTACTTGGCCAGGCTACAATGCCCAGTTTGTTTGGTCAAACACGGTCTAGATTTTGGTATGGAGGTATTTTTTAATGTGATTTACACTGACATTTATTATTTTTTTTAGAAATGGGCATCTCACTACGTTGCCCAAGGTGGTCTCAAACTCCTGGGTTCAAACGCTCCTCCCACCTCCATCTCCCAAAGCATTGGAATAACGGGCATGAGCCACCATGCCTGGCCTCAACATTGACATTTACATCAGTAGACTTTGAATAAAGAAAATTAATCTCCATAATATGAGTCGGCTTCATCCAATCAGTTGAAAGCCTTAAGAGTAAAGACTAAGATTTCCAGAAGAAGCAGCAATTCTGCCTCAAGATTGCAGCATAGAATTCCTACTTCAGTTTCTCATCTGTTGCCCTGCCCAGAAGATTTTAGATTCAAGACTGCAACATCAGTTCTTACCTGAATCTCCAGTCTGCCAGCCCACCAGTCATGTGAGTCAGTTACCACTCTCTCTCTCCCTATCTCTCTCTCTTTCTCTCCAGATAAATAGATAGATTCTGTTTCTCTGAGGAACCCTGACTAATATAGACTATATTGCTAGGAAAAATGTAATCCTAGCCAACTGTAGCAAAAAAGTAAAAGTAAATACAAATAAAACTGTATTCTATAACAATCACCCCACCTTTTTCCTTTTACCTTAGGAAAGTTTTGATTTGTGGAATTATTCTTTTCACAAGACTAAATTATTCAAACAGCTTGAGACTGGTTCCTCTTCTCTCCCTGAAAATTCACCTGTCCTAATCTTTTCTCTTCCTTCCCAAATGATGGTCACCTTACTAATAATAAAATTCATGCTCATGAGAGAGTAAATTGATATCTACAAATCTCACCCCCACCCCTGAGCTAACTGATGATTGTGACTCCTGCTTTTGCTGTCCCATGTGAAGTAGCTAAAACAGTCATCTCTAGGCCACAGACGAACAGAGGAGAAAAATCACTGGGTCAGAAGGGGTCAGGCAGCACTCATCAACTCACAGCACAGAGACCACTTCCTTTGGTGCACACACATAAAAGACCATAACCGTTAGACTCACATCTAGCAGATGCTCTGAGCTCAATGAATTACAGGCAATTCTTAGAAGCCAGAGTATTTCTACACAAATACCAAGATCCTAGAAGCCAAAAAGAAACTTTTGATTTGTTGAGGGACCTAGGAGATATTATCAGGTCTCAAGGAGTTTCAGTTTCAGACATACTCTCAGGAACCCAAGTTATTTTGGATTAACTTAGGTCCAGGTGCCAGACTGAATCCACACACAAATGGACTTGAATTCTTCACTTACTGACTTAGAAATGTCCATGGCATCCACTAAAATCAGGTCATTCTAGAGCAGGCAAAACTTCTCAGACTGCTTATAAGTTAAAATGCCAAAACCCCTATAACAACCAATAAAGTAAGACTTTAAGACTCAAGTATGGTACATAATTAAAAATCAACTATCACTATTTCCTTTATATTTTTGAACTCAAATTAAAACTGAGATGACAAATTCAAAGTAATAGATAAAGGTAAAACAAACACTGACAGGAAATGAAAGTTTGAATTCTGTTTCCAGCAATAATGGAAGACAAGTAATTAAGTGAAAAACCTACGAGTACAGTATACCCAATAATGTTAACTAGCAGTTTAAAAATCATTTTGACACCTGTCTTGGCAAGGGAAGACAGTCAAGGAATTCCCCAACCAGCAGAAACATGAGCAACTGCAGATCTACAAAGACAAGTAAGTCTCAGAGTAGGAATTTGCCCGGTACTGCTTGCCAATCCCTGACAAAACAGAGTTCTAGACTCAGTAAGTTTCCACTTGAGGGATGACAGGCGGAGTCCAGGACCTGAGTATAACAAAGAAAACCTACCAAAACCAGGAGCCTTGAAAAAAGAGCATTATTGTCAGTGTCTGAAAGAAATATCCCTGTTTAGTGTCTATGGAGATACCTGCCTATTGCAGCTTTGCCTCTGAGTGGAGGGCAGAAAGAGGTTGGAGAAATTTAATGATCTTCAATTCCTAATCACAAGCCTCCATCTCAGGTGTCTAAGGCAAGAATTCACATCACCTATATGGTTCAAAATAACCTATTAGAAAATGCAGATTAAAGTGATCCAGGGTTGGTAGGATACACAGTTTCCTGACAAAAGGAACCCAAACCTTCTATAGACAAACTCATTTTAATACATACCTTAAGAAAGTCCCATAGTTAATGCTCTGAGATTGGCTCACAGTGAAAAAGTCCACCAAATACCAAGGAACAAACAATCATGAGGGAGAACCAAGATTTAAACTAGTAACTGTCAAGTAAGGCCATCAAAGATGGTTGCTTTTATAATAATCAGAAGAAGCCTACAAAATGAGTTTACCTGATATATTTAAATAAATAAAAGAGACTACTGAAAGTGCAATGAAGAAAGAAAATATTATGGGAGCTGACCAGACATATTTGAAAAAGAACAAAATAAAATTTTTTGAAGTGAGTAATGTGATAACTAGAATTAGGAACTCAAAGTTTGGATTAAGCAACAGATTAGCCAAAGATGAAGACAAATTTGTGAACTGCGAGACATATCTGGATAAGTTACTCAAAATGAAACACAGAGAATCAAAAGAGTGGAAAATATTAAAGTTAAAAGATGTAAAAATAGAGATTCCAACATATATCTGTCTAATTAGAGTTTCAGAAATGGATGAGAAAAAAGATGTAGAAGAAATATTCACAAATATAGTGACAGACATTTCCTAATATGATGAAAGATGTTAATCCTCAAATATAGGAAGTTCAAGGTTTTTATCAGAATTACATAAAAGAAATCTATATCTAGACATATTATAGTGAAAGTGCAGAATATCAAAGACAAAGAGTTCTTAAAACATCCAAAAGGAAAAGACAGATTAGCTAAAAAGAACAATGAATTGACTAATGGATGATTTATCTTTTTATATTTTTTTTATTATACTTTAAGTTCTAGGGTACATGTGCACAACGTGCAGGTTTATTACATATGTATACATATGCCATGTTGGTGTGCTGCACCCATTAACTCGTCATTTACATTAGGTATATCTCCTAATGCTATCCCTTCCCCCTCCCCCCACCCCACAACAGGCCCCATTGTGTGATGTTCCCCTTCCTGTGTCCAAGTGTTCTCATTGTTCAATTCCCACCTATGAGTGAGCACATGCGGTGTTTGGTTTTTTGTCCTTGCAATAGTTTGCTGAGATGGATGATTTCTCAGTGACAATAATGGAAGAGTGGAAAGTAATAACTTCAAAGTACTAACAAAAATGTAGCTGTCAACGTAGAATCTTATACCCTATGAAATTATCTCTCATTCAATCATTCACTCCATTTAACAAAAATATATTATGTACTTACTATGTGTTGGATAGTGATGAGAATCCATCAGTGGATAAAATAGACAAAAAATATTCCTGCTCCACTAGAGTTTACATTTCAATGGGGGGAAGAGCCAATAAATAATAACTCTAATAAATAAGTAAAATATGCTGTGAAAGGAATGGACCCAGATAAGGGAAGTAAGATTGACAAGTAGCAGAGGTCTACAAATTTAAATAGGGCTATTGGAAGAGGATTCATAAAGAAGGCGAGATTTAAGCAAAGACTTCAACTTAGTTAGGGGTTTCTTGCAAGGAAGAGTGTTCCAGACAGAGATAATAGACAGTACAAAGCCCTGTGGTCAGAGTATTCCAGAAACAGGAGGCCAATGTGGATGGAACCCAGTGAGCAGGGGCCAATTTAAGGACTTTGGCTTTTACTCAGTGAGATAGTAAATGAAAGAGGAGCGAGTGAAGTGTTGACATGAATTTTAGCAGGATCACACTAACTGCTCTTTGAAAGTATATAGTGCTATGGGTGGGGTGAAGGGTGAGACAAAAGGGAAATTAATTAGGAGACATTGAAGTAATCCAGGCTCAAGATGAGGACGGTTTAGACCAGGGAACAGAATCCACGAACAGAGCAATGGAGTGGTGAGAAGTGGTTGTTTCAGAGCAGGGAACAGAAGCAGGAACAGAAGGAGTGAAATGGTGAGAGGTGGCTGGATTCTGGATTTATTTTGAGTATAAAATGACAAGATTTCCTAATAGATTGGGCAAGAGGAGACTCTAGATAACTGAATTATTTTGTCCAAAATACTGGAAAAAAAGAAGGGATCTTTAACCTCCATTGCGGCTATGGATGAAGTAGCTTCAATAGGAAGAGGGAAGACATCAGCAATTTTCTTCGGGAATGTTGAGTTTGAAACATCTATTAGACATCAGTGTGTAGATGCAAACCAGAAGTTGCACAATTTAGTCAGGAGCTCTGGAGAAAGGTTTTTCACTATAGATGTAAATCTGCGAGTCATTCACATAGGGTCGCTAATTAAACGCACAACACTCGATGAGATCATCAAGAGAAGGACTGTAGATACAGAAAAAAAAAAAATGGCCCAAAGACTAATCTCTGAGAAACTTTAAGCGATCAGGGAGATAAGGGTAAATGGATCCAGAAAGAATGATTGATAGAGTAAAAAGGAAAACCGAAAGAATTATGGTGTATCCAGTTAAAATCTTTGAAACTGACAAAAATGGCTAAGCATCCAACTTAATGAACTGAGAAATAGAATAGCAGAATTGCCTCTGAAAAAGAAGGATGAAAAAATAATTATTAGAGCTGAACTCAGTAAAAAACAATGCAAATATAAAGTTAAAACCATCAAAAAAGTTAGTTATTAGAGAAATAACAAAAATAACCTCCAGCAAAGTTGACCAAGGGGAATAAATATAATTCACAAATACATAATGTAGGGAATGAGAGGGAAGACATAACTAGATGCTGGTGAGAGTTAAAAAGATATTAAAAACAAGTTTACACCAATAAATTTGAAAGCCCAAGTGAAATTAAGAAATCACCAAAGACATAAACTATTAGAACTGAATCAAGTAAAAGCAGAAAACTATTATAGTCTTATTAAGGAAATTTAACCAATAGTTTAAAATCTTCCCAAAGGATAACCCAAGGCTTCTATAATTTTATAAGGAGAATTTCACAAAAATTAATGGAAGAGATTATTCTGATATTATAAAAACTCTTTCAAAGTTTTGAGGAAAAGAAATTGTATTCCTCAATGTATTTTTATTGCCTGCAGTAAGTACACAGTGGAGAAAATTAGTATCATTGATGAACAGAGATGGAGATATCCTAAAATATTTATTAGCAAATGAAAACCAGCAATGTACAATTAAAATAATAACTCATGAAAAAGTAAAGTTTATTTCTGGCTTAAAATTGCTCCCATTGTCCCAACTCCTGCATTCCACATCCAACTAAATAAAACAAAAACTCTTAATTTTCAGCCTTTTCTCCTGAGATCAGACAATAAAGAACTCCGAGACATTAAGTGTTCATCACTGGACTCAGCTATTAAACATTATTTCTTCATGTAGTTTGTCTTGACTCTAGGCAATGGGGCATCCATGCAGTAAACTCCTTTACAACAGTCAACATAAAACCAAATGGAAATTTGACAAAACCAAATATACTTTCTCCTCCCTATCTTGTTTCCCCACCAAGTAAATTCTGAAATTGAGAAGTTTGTTTCTGTTGGCTTTTAACCTCCAAATAATTACATATTCCAAAACACCAACATCTTTTTCACACTTAATCTAAAATTAACTTTTAACAACTATAAAAGTATAGTTGTTATGCTTTGTTTGCTTTCATAGTTTTACTACTAGTCTTGTATTTCTTACTTAAAATTGCTCAGTGTTAATCAGAAGGCCTTACTTCTGTTTAAGCTCCTCTTCTTTGGGTGGTGGAACTATAAGTGCCCATTCTCAACTTCACTCTATTTTCAAGATTTTCAATGACATGCATGAATTATTTTTACAATAGAAAAAAATTATTTAGTAAATTTTAGAATTCAGGGAATAAATTGCATTAGAACAGCTGGGACACCCAATACAATATTGAATACATGTATCAACACTGGACATTCTTGTCAGTTTTATTTTGGAGAAACTAGAACTATAATTCAATGGCATTAAAAAAAATAAAATAAAAACTATGACCTACCTTTCTGCTTGACAACCAAACCACCACAGTCACACGGTTATATATCACATGGTTGGGGATATTAAGGAAAAACAACAGCAACAACCCTGGCACCTACTCTTCAAATAAAATGCTTGCATTTTTATTGTCACATTGTTTTCTTGCAGAGTGTATAGTTAGGGGAATGCTATTTTAATATTATGCTAAAGGAAGTGAAACTAACACTTAAAAATTCATAAGAAGAGTTTTCATGTTCTTATATTAGCATTCA
The DNA here is from genome assembly GCF_000001405.40 of Homo sapiens. Lineage (NCBI taxonomy): Eukaryota > Metazoa > Chordata > Mammalia > Primates > Hominidae > Homo > Homo sapiens. The sequence continues at coordinate 116,150,794 of NC_000007.14, forward strand.
GAGGTAGAGTAAGGGTGATTGGAAGGCATGTGAGTGTGACTCAAACCCACATCATATTTGTTTATATTAAAATAATGCCTTCCTGATATATGGCTTTATCCGGAATCAAAGTGCTAAACATTAATTTTTGTATGCATCCCTCTTAAATGACTATAATTAATGTAAAATCAGGATTTGGAGTTCTAAAATTATGAATTCTAAACATAATTTAAACATAATTTTATCCAAACCACAGTATTCTCATTGGTCTCCTTTAGAAAGAATGCAGTGCACTGTTTAGTGAGTTTTTCTGGCATTTCACATGCTTAATCAGTAGCATATGAAAATAAAGAAATATGTGAGAAAGTCTGAATTTCTTTTAAAAGAATGATCAATCTTAAATTCAAAATAGATTTCTTGTAACATTAATCTAAACATAGAATATTTCCTTTGATATTATGTCAGATTTTTTTTTTTTTTTTTTTTTTGAGATGGAGTCTCGCTCTGTCACCCAGGCTGGGGTGCAGTTGCACGATCTCAGCTCACTGCAACCTCTGCCTCCTGGACTCAAGCAATTCGCCTGCCTCAGCCTCCTGAGTAGTTGGGGCTACAGGCACCCACCACCACACCAGGCTAATTTTTGTATTTTTAGTATAGATGGGGTTTCATCATGTTGGCCAGGCTGGTCTTGAACTCTTGTCCTCAAGTGATCCGCCCACCTCGGCCTCCCAAAGTGTTGAAATTACAGGCATGAGCCACTGTGCCCAGACCTAGCTGTTGAAATTTTTATTCTTCAGTTGGATTTTTCTTCTCCTTGTAGTAGGGTTTGTTTTTTGGTTTTGGTTTTGGTTTTTTTCCAAAATGAGAACTTGTTACAATGGAATTTTTTTTTTCATTCAACAGGACAAATATGCTTATCTCTTAATATCATTATAAAAATTTTTATATTTGGGAGATTTACATTTTAATGGATGAAATAATGCATGGACATATCTAGTCTCAGATAATATGAAGTGACAGATTTAATTGGTTTATAAAATACTACTGAAACCTGAATTGATTTGTTTCACTGGGTTAAATATTTGTTTTCCATCCATACTAATTCAGGAAGCACCTTGGATGTAAACAAAGATAAAATTTCTAGAAGATTTTTCATTTCTTCCCAATACAGGAAGTAGAATAGTTTAAACAAATATAAATCTCTCTGTGACCACTTTTTCTCAAAAAAAAAGGTAGTAAACCCTTTCTTATTGAGGGTGCAGAGTAATACTCATCTCTCCAAGTACACCTAGATTAAACTTTGAATTAATAAAAAAGTGGTATTTAGGAGCAATTTGCGCAAAAAGTTTAGTTCAGTTAAAAAATGTCAAGGACTCCCATTGCCAGCCAAGATAGAAGAACAAGGATCATATTTACCCTCATACCTTAAACAACTAAAAAGTCAAAGAAAACATATGAAACAATTTTCCGACATGGAACAACAGGCACCACAGAAGCATGATCCTGATAAAAGAAAATAAACTAGGGAATAAACCCAAGAAGAGGGGATCTAAACAGAGTCCAGTGTTCTTTTTGAATTGAGAAGACAGAGATGAGAATTTGGGAGGCTCAATGCAGTTAGAATTTGCAGGGCAGAGTTTACCAAAGTAAAAAGAGCTGCAAAGAGAAGAAGCTCCTGAGATCTGCAGAGGGTTCCCCTAGAGTCTTCAAGCGGGTACTGATCAGGGCATGTGTGTAAGCAAACTACATGAGACCAGGCAATGACTGGAAAGGAGCAGAAGGAACAATTTCCAGAAATCACATAAAGCTGGGAATGGTTATTTCCAAAAGCCAGAGGGGAGAAATATTATATTACACAGGACATACATCAAGAAATGTACTCAGAATCGTATTGCCTTAGTAATGGAGACAAAACCAGCCTCCTCTGGTTCCACCTAGCAAAGTTGAAAAAGTAGTTGTGAAAGGATAAATATGTTTCTGAGCGACTTAATTGCATCCTAGAGCAAAGCTCAAAAATATTTTCTTAAAAAAATACTAAAAATTCCATAAGCTCACAATGGTCGATATCCAAGCAAAAATTATTAGTCATGCAAGAAATTAGGAAAATATGACCAATGAGAGGGAGAAAAATCATTCAACAAAAACTGACCAATGAATGAAGCAAATGACAGAGATAGTAAAAGCACATTAAAACAGCTACTATGACCCCACACCATATGTTCAAGAAGGTAGAGGAAAGCATAAGCATGTTGAGGCGAGCCACGAAAGATATTTTTAAAACCTAAATCTAAGTTATAGAGGAAGAAAGTACAATGCCTCAAATAAAAATTATACTGGACAATATAAATCCCAGCCTGAAGACTGGAAAAACTTGCAAGCAGGAAATACCAACAGGCTGGACAAATAGCAATGACATCCCTTATCCTTTGAGCAAATTAGGTTAGGCAGTGGTGGCGATGTTGTGGGTGTTTTTGTTTTGTTTCGTTTTGTTTTGTTTTTTTGAGACAGAGTCTCGTTCTGTTGCCCAGACTGGAGTGCACTGGCGCAATCTCGGCTCACTGCAATCCGCCTCCTGTGTTCAAGGGATTCTCCTGCCTCCGCTTCCTGAGTAGCTGGGATCTACAGGCATGAGCCACCATGTCCGGCTAATTTTTGTATTTTTAGTAGAGACGGGTTTTTACCGTGTTGGTCAGGCTGGTCTCAAACTCCTGACCTCGTGATCCACCCACCTCGGCCTCCCAAAGTGCTGGGATTACAGCGTAAGCCACCGTGCCCAGCTGGCTATTTTTAATTTCTTTGTTGTCACAGTTGTGGTTATTGCTTTCTGTTTTGCATTCCTCCTCTGATCATTCACTTTACCAGTAGTAATTAACAATAATTGGACAAAGAGGAAAAAAAAAAGCTCTTCCTTCCTTTACTATTTTAGCAAACCAAATAAAATGTATAATGAAGTAAAAATTTTAAACCACTAGGTAAGATTGGAATGAATTGGACACTGCATAAAAAAAAGATTAGGAAAGTTAAAGAAACAGCAACAGAAATTGTTGGACAAAATTAAACAAAGACAGAAAAAGACTTAAAAAATTAGGAGGACACCAGTGAGCTGTGAGATAACTTCAAGTGGCCTGATAACACATGTAACTGGAATCATAGAAAAAGGAAGAAAACAGAAAAGTGTCCCCAGGTTTTAAAATCTCATGTCTGTGACCCATCTCTTAAAGCAGGGGATTAGATGAAATTGTAAGGAGAGAAGAGTGTTTCTGCTCTTAGTGGTAAAGTACACAGGGCCAGCTAACCATTGCCTTGAAACAGACATTAAGAGGACTGTTCTTTAATTTTAGTTATGCATCTTGAACTCAATGGCCATTCTTCAAATGATGCTAGTCTTCCTATTCCTTATAAACATCCTCCCAAGTTGATATATGTACTGGGTGACCTATGAAATGAGAGGGTGAGATGCATAGAACAGTCCAGGCTTAGAGAAAAAAGAATTTTTCCAGGCTCTGAAACTCTGTCGATTTCAAATGCACCTCCTTTTCTTTCTCTATCTCCATTCCTCACTTTCTTCAGATGGAGGCTTTACTATCTCCTGGTATATCACTGAGCTCCTATTCAAAATCACTTTTGAAGGAGTACGTAACTAACATGTACTCCTTCAAGAGTTTCATAATTCTTGAAAGCATGGTAGGAATGATGGCATTCATTCAGGTATATTTTTATTTATTCAAAATCTTCTATGGGTTAGATGCTATGAAATGGACTGGGAATATATATTAATGAACAAGGCAGATACATTCCTGATCCATGGAAATTACAGACTGCCTAGAGAGATTGGCATTGCACTTATAATAGCATTAATGAATATATAATTCTTTAAGATATTAAGTATTAATATTTGCATCAGCCTAATTCCTTTCTCCCAGGTTCTGTTTTATTATCACAGGAAACCAGATATATCCCTGCAAACTCTATCTTCTAGAATTTTTTGCCAATTGACTTCCAGTTTGGTTTGGCCAATAAGAGGCATTGGTGCAAGATTAGAGGGTAGTAGGAGGGGAGAAATCGCGGATCTTCCTCTCTTGGATATTAATTCTCTCTTTGTTTTGTGGTGGTATCTCTGAAAGGGACTGGAAACCTTTCACAGGGGTCTCAGCCTTGGCCCTGGTTTTTCCTCTTCTGCCATACTATCCCTTGCCAAATTTTCCTCTTTGGTGGTTCTAGCCCCTGCTATGCACCCCCGGAAGTCACAAATACATTCTCAGTCTCTGAGTTACCTCATTTTCAGTTGTTGCTTTCAATGCTTTCACCAGTTATGTAACCAATTCTCTCTATTAGATTCACTCTCCTTGAAAGACCTAGTACGATTTCTGTTTCCCTGACTGAAACACATCATTCTGATGAATGCTACATATGTGGTCCAATGAACATACAAATGGGAGATCTAATCGATTCTGAGGAATTAGAGATAGCTTCCTTAAAGAACTAATATTTAAACCAAGAACTAGAGAATGAATAGAAATTAGCTAAGGGAAAGGAAGCAACCACAGCCACATGATCAAACATCACGTTTATTTAAGATATCGAAGGACTATTTTACAAAAGGCAATTTCTCGCTATGCTACAGTTGACATATTTCCACGTCGTACTTCTTACTGTGCCATTGGGCCTACAGCAAACCTGCCAGCATCTACCTCAGATGGCTAACTCAAAGGTTTTTTGTTTTTGTTTTTAAAGTTGATCCCATTAAACTCAGGCACATTTTGCTTTCTACCAACTCTGATGTCTTTGCAGTGCCAGGAAAAAAAAAGAAAGAAAGAAAGAAAACACTTCTAGGGAGAAATGTCCAGCTGTGAATGCTCTTATGCACTTGCTTTTAGCAGCATCTCCAAAGCACGGTCCTCACTTGCCATCCTCAGGCCACATGTTTAATCAGGACTGTTAACATATCAAAAAGATTAGGTTGGCTGACTGAATGACTGCTTCTATCTTTCTTTTTTATAACATTCTTTGTCACGGGGCTGCCTAATTATTAAGATCTACCTTACCAATAAAATAAAATGCCCTGCTTTTCCCCAGCTCTCAGATCAGCTTTACTGATTTTCTTTTTCTTTTGTCCCCAATATGGCTCAGCACAGCACCTTTACTGATCCTTTGATACTTTATGCATTACAGAGTTTGGGGCGTAAATTTTGATTTTTAAAAAATATTGCATTAATATATTATTTATCTTGATTTCTGAGTTTTTTGTTTTTGTTTTTTGTATTCCTTTAAATTTCATACCTGAGGCAAGTGCTTCATACTCCTGGCCCTGGTCCTGATGCTGAAGGAGTCCTGGTTACTCCCTTAAAGAATCTTAGCCTGTGCTGACAGCAGAGTGGGACACTTATGTCTACACTGCCCCAGAGGCTCCCAGCCATTGGAAAGACAGAAACAGCAGGAGGGAGAGAGGGATTTCATTCTCTTAAATCATATTCAAAGACAGCTCATGGAGCATTCTTGGAGCAAAGCATGGAGTGTAAACAAATTTGAATATTAGACACAATTATTTCTGAAACATTTGTCTCTAAAAATATATATCATGGGTGTCAAATAGATTCTAAGATAAAAAATCTATTTTTTTAAAATAACCTTCATATCAGTCCTACTTCTAAGATTATAATCAAACCACAATTAGCAAAAGACATTAAAAACATAGGAAAACAAGATATTACAAACCAGAGGAATAATTTATTTCATGTGGGCTTCTCCATAACTACACCCATCCTCAGCCTTGAATCTTTTCTTGCAATTTGGCCACATTGAAATGGCTTGTGTGTATTTTAAGCTATCTATTTTTTTGTGTGTGTGATTCTTTAGAATTTCTACTTGATTTCTCAAGGGCTTGCTTTTACAGTTCCTAGATGTAGTCTACAAATATGCCATCTTCCATATCAATGTTAACAGGCCTCCATTTAATATGAATAGAGCCCAGAATGTGAGGCTCCTAATGTTTTCTTGTTTGTACACGGTAAAGGCATTCATACCTTCATCTCCTCATCTCCTAAATGAAGGTTTTGGACTAAATGGCCATTAACATACTTTGCCATTTTCACATCCTGTGATCAAATAATTCTGTTCCACATATACATTTTATACTATATGGAAGGCTTAGCTTAAGTTGACCTTATTGATACTTTTTTTGTCTTACCTTTTGTTTAATACTGAATTTTATTTTGAAATAACTACAACTAAAATGGAGCACTTGGAAAATGATTTGTGGACTTCCAATCACAGCAAGAGTTTGGATTTCATACATTAGGCCTCCGATGATCTTTCCCATACTCTCTTATGTTCTGTTTTAAAATTGTATCCTTCTTTTATCATATTCCCTAAAATTTTCCTATATCTCAATGCTTTGATACTTTCACATGCAGAAGAGTGAAAGCATAGCACTGCTCACATTTATTAACAAGCATTTATTTTTCCTTTGCCCCCTTTCTTTCCCGCTTTTTTTCTCTATTCTCTTTTCCTTTGTCTTCCTTTGACTCACTTTTCCCATTTTCTCCTTTCCTCTTCTTCTTATTTTCACTTATGACAGTTAACATGGTCCTAGATGTTCCAAAAAAAATAAATAAGTAAGCACAAATAACATTACAAATTGAATTTTATTCAACAGTTAAGTTATGCATACTAAATTTGATGCATATAGAATAACACAATAAGGAAAAGGTATTCCAAAACTGAAATGGGTTTGTGATTATAACTAGTATATGGTGACTGAAAGTAAGTTTAGTAGGGAATGAGCAGTCTTGAGAAAAATGGAAATCAGGATTCTAAGGGAAATCAAAAAATAATATGTTGAGTGTGGGGCTAGGAAGTGACTAGGAGACGAACAGATGCAAAAATGCCCACATTATCTTTAGCTCTTTTTAGGGAAGTTGGACTCCTGACAACTCTTCTAACTGTTGCCTTCCCTTAAAGCCTTCCCTAGGCATCCCCAAATTCAATGGTCCAGGCCCACTTTGTTTTCTCACCTGTATTCTAATACAGTCACACACAGAACTTCTGTCACACCGAAGGTACTCATTCACTTGCACATCTGCTGTCCTGCTTCCCACTAAACACCAGTCCCCTGGAGGACATGGCTGTACATTATTCGGCTTTGAATTTGAAATGTGGCACATATCAGACACCTATCTTCAAATTCTCTGTCCCCCGTTTACAATTCATGCAGATACACACAATATTTCTTTTAATATTTCGGAGCCACAATCTCCTTATTTGTAAAATTAGGAAAATACTACCCTTTATTGTGTTATTCTATATGCATTGAATTAAAATAAAAGAGATAGGTTTAAGCTTCCCTTAAAAACTGAATAACTACCCAAACTTTTGTTTTTGAAAACTTAACACATTTTTGGAAGAGGCATTCTCTGAGCATCCTATATTTGTCACCTAAATTTTTTCAGTATAATGCTATGAAAGAGGTTTCTGGTCCATTTTCGAGCCTATAGAGTCTTTTTTAATGACTATTTCTCTTTTTTCCCCCTCATCTTCAAAAGTAATATCAGCTAAAACTCTTTGTAGCTTTAAATGAGCATTACAGACTAGAAAAGAAATACCTAAACTGAGTAAGCCAAATTATTTAGTTGTGAAAAATTATGCAAACATCTGAAGCATGAATTCCCTCTTCTTGTCAGCTTTACGTAATTTAAGCAACTAACTATATATCTAGCCAAATTTAACGAGCTCACATCTTAATTATGCTCACTAAGCCATTTATTTTTTTATTTTCTCAAAATTCTGGCACAATTCTCAAAATAGCGAAAAGTGTGCTGATGAAAATCAATGATATCCAAAGGAAAAAATTTGATGTTCTGAAGTACAAAAATATATTATGAAGTTTGGTTGTGCTCTCCTTGCTTAAAGTACATAATAATGGATAAAATGTTAGGCTTTTTCTTTCTTTTGCAATAGCATATTACTATAAAAATGTGATACTAGGTCCCACTATAATAGCACAAATCCTATTTTGTAGTATTTCACAAATCCTAATTTAATATGTGAATTGAAGAAGACATTTTCTTATTATATTTGCTTTTGTTTTTGATATTTGCTCATATTAAAAAGATGAAGTAACAAAAATGTACAAAGATTTCTTCATTTTTGTCCCTAAAAGATTATAAAATGTTTTGCTAATTTATTATATAATTTGTCATGCTTAAGCAATAATGAAAATTAGTTTTACAAATATGAGTTTGAATAACTTGTGTTTTATACCATTCATATATAGTTCAACTGACTCACAGTTTTTATATGTAACTTAACAGTTTTTATATGTAAATAACTCATTTACTTAAAGAGCTATCTGAAATAGGATTCAACATGATACAAGAAATAATAAGTCACAAGTGTATTTACACTGATAATCAGAAATAAATGTCTCACTTTTACTAAATTATGAAATTCAAATTTATGTATGCCCTACTTTAAGAATATAGAATTTTCAAATTTTCAAATTTATGAAATATGTTTTTATCAAAAATATACTTTATAAAATAACCATTTTGTCTTGTGTTTTTCTGAGATGATTAATCGATGCTAGATTAATAAATTCTACATTATATATAATAATTATATTTTCAACCAATTCTTCAGAGACATATATATTGCATAAAAGGAGAGAAACATAGTCTCGCCAATTCTCTATAAACTTCAGCGATATTTGAAACCATTTTGCACAGTCCAAAAAGAGTAACATTTAGAAGTCTCACAAAGCAGTTATCCAATTTACCATTTCCTTTTCCTTCTAGTGAATTCACCAGTGAAGCATTATAATCAAATATCATCCATAAAAAACAAATAGCAGCATTAAAAGTTTTATCTATTTCTAACTTTTTGAGCTAATGTAAGTTAAAAGTTAATAATCTTAAACATTTAAACTAAGTTGAAATTTATAGCCATATGATTTTAAAGCCCAAAATACGAGTGATTTTATACTTTGTAGTTCCAATTAAATAATTCAGAGGAAAAATTACCTTTGCTGGTGGCTCAGGCGAAGAATCCGTGAGACTCAATCTCTCCATTTGTTTTGTATGTACCATAAGCATTATCTTTCTGTTTACTCCCACTTCTCCTCTTTTTCTACTTCTAAGGGAGGCCAAGCTATATAAACCATGATTTAGTTCCTCTTTTTGATGTTACATTCATTTCTCATATTTTCGTATAATGGTAAAGAGGAGGAGTAATATTTATGAGCTCATGATTTCAACAAATTGCAATTACAAACACCAGTCCAATTCTTTACTTTTTTTGCTGTATGGAATATTTTATTATTTTATCAACAACTATCTATACACAAATAAAAGTTACAGGTGCTTAATAGAAAAAACTGAGTAGCAAGCACAAATTTAACTGTGCCATAAGAGGACAATATTGCCACTGTTAGGTGAAAGCCCCTGGGAGAAAATAAATTGTCCCTCAATCATCATAATCTGGCTTCAGTTTCTCTGGATTTTACAAATCCTTCCTAGAGAAGTCAATAAGTAAAACAAAGCAGGAAACACTGGGCTTACCACATTCAGAGTCTTGTAGGGCAAGTTGGTTATCACCCCGGGAAATAAAAAGAAAGAAAGGGCAAAAAGTGTGTGTGTGTGTGTGTGTGTGTGTGTGTGTGTGTGTGAATACGTGCATATGACAATTATTACCAGTGTTGACCACTTCACTCAAATTCAATTCTTCTCTACTTCTAGCTCACTCAGAGTTAGTAGTGGCCACGAGTCTAGTTCTGGTCAATGAAGAGGGAGGGCTGAAACACTTTCTTGCCAGTGCTTGACTCTACAGCTCTCCTCTGCAGCTGACTCAGTGATCACCAAAGCAGGTGTCCAGATGGAGCGTCCATCAGCTCAGGCCTCAAGTGGTTCTGATGAACAAAGCTTCCTTATAAGCTATGTTGGACTCGTAGCATAAATGAAAAATAAACTATTTTATTAAAACTACTGAGATCTGGGGGGTTGTATGCTATAACCTAGCCAATTCTGACTGACTCAGGAATGAAGTTATAATTAATATATTTTGAAAAGCAGTGTGCCATTTAACATCCATATGTAGAACAACAACAATATCCTCTGCTCACTCCGGTATAATACATGGGCTACCTTCCCTCTAGAGCGGATATGAGGAATAGTAGTATGAGAGAATGGAAAGAGGAGAAGGTTAGAAGATCCGGATACTTGTCTAAAGTAATGCAAACTAATTAGCAGCAGATCTTGGTCCACTCACTAACTTGTATGCATTACTGTGGACAAGTCATTTCAGCACTCTAAACTCAAGTTTCTCATTTGTAAAATGGAGACAATAATAGCTTCTCTGTCTTATAACAAAGGTGAGTATCAAATTTTTGTGTGTTGCCATTACTAGATCATAGAAATATATTCTATTCTTCTCTAAATTCCCAATTACCTAGTAAAATATCTTACAGTACCATAAGTACTAAATAGGTGGTTAATAATTAATGGCAAATTCTATTCCAACAATTATGTAAGCCTTTAACTAATGTCTAACTCTGATTTATAGAATACACTTACTTCTTACCATGAGTTCCACATCAATGGATGCAAACAATCATAGAATGAAAATGTTTGGAGAAAAAAACAATAAAAATAAGAAAATAACAAAAGCAATATAATAATTTTATTTGTATTTTTATTGTTAACAAAAACAATAAGTTTATTTCATTAACAAAAAAATTCAAATAAAAATGTATAACAATTATGTTTATAGCACTTATATTATATTAGATATTATCAGTAATCTAAAGATGATTTAAGGGGTCCTGGAACCAGTATCCTGCAGATACTGAAGGACAACTGTATGTGAGAACATGTTCTTTATGAAGTACCTTGCTAGCAAAGTGTTTAATTACTTTTTAATGTGTTAAATACTTATTAATCATCTACCACATGTCAGGCACTGTTCTAAGCATTAGAGGAGTGAATCAGGGAACAAATTAGACAAATTATCTGCTATGATGGAGGAAAATAGACAATGATAGGCAAAGGCTGTGTGTGCTAGAAGGGGGGAGGAAAGGGTGAATCTGATAGATGGCCAGGAACCTCCTTGTTAAGTTGACATTTGAGCAGTTAATTGAGTGAAAGAATGCAAACCATGTAGGTACTTGAGGGACTGACATTCCAGGCAGTAGGCACAGCATGTGTAAGGGCTCTGAGGTAAGAAGAGTATTCTGGTGCTTAAAGAATAGCATGATCATGTCCTTTGCAGGGACATGGATGGAGCTGGAGGTCACTATCCTTAGCAGACTAACACAGGAACAGAAAACCTAATACCACATGTTCTCACTTATAAGTGGGAGCTAAATAATGAGAACACAGGGACACTTAGAGGGGAACAGGACACACTGGGGCCTTTTGGATGGTGGAGGGTTGGAGGAGGGAGAGGATCAGGAAAAATAACTAATGGGTACCAGGCTTAATACCCGGGTGATGAAATAATCTGTACAACAAACCCCCATGACACAAGTTTACCTGTGTAGCCAACTTGGCACTTGTACCCCTGAACTTAAAATAAAAGTTAAAAAAATAGTATTAAAGCCATTTAGACTCAGGCAACATGAGTAAGAGAAAGAATATAAGGGATAAGATCAGAGAAATGAAAGAGGAACCAGGTGCCTAGCAGGCTATGATGAGGACAATGAATATTATTCTTAGCATTAGAAAGCATTAGAAGGTTTTGAGCAGAGGAGAAACATGATTCAACTTATATTTTCAAAGGATCACCAAGTCACCCAGGCTGCTTTGTGGAGGACAGACTGGGGAGGGGGGTGCAATTACAGAAGCAGGAAGATGAATTGGAAGGCTACTGAAATAGTCCAGCTGAAAAAATTGGTCCCAACTCCCTTGATGATATATGCACATATATAAGAAAACCAGGTTTTCTTACTGCAGCCATTCACAGGGTCTTTCCTATATTACTATGGCAAGAGTCAAACTGGAGAGCCAAGAAATGTGTCTGCATATGCAGGAATATATATATATATGGCGCTATATGCAGGAATATATATAGCGCTATATACATACAGCTATAGTCAGAGATAGCATCATGATATGGATAGCAGGAAAGGAGGGCTTTGCTTTAACAGATGTACAAGAACAGAGTTTGTGTAGGAGAAGGAGGAGGAAGAGAAATTTTATTTGCTAAAGGTTAGTTATTTTGAAAATGTGTTCTTTGATGAGAAGGATCAGGAATCAGGATAGTCTAGATAGAAAACACAGAGGCAACATATGTGGCACACACACACACACACACACACACACACAAAACACCAAACAAACAAAAAGAAAGGCCTGTTGATCTATTTCTGAAGAGACATGAGAAGAGTTATTTAGAAAGAAGAGCCAGCAGGAGGCAATGTAGGCTTACAAAGTACAATAGGCACATCAGCCTAGAAATCTTCAATCAATCAATCAAACCTTTCATAATGTAACTAATAGGGAGGAAAACATACTGGGAGGCATAGGATTACTGTGAGCTGTTTTGTAAAATACTCAGTAGTCATTGGTTTCTATTGTTGTAACAAAATATCCCTTTGTTATATATGATTAGCAAAATTGCCAGTGCCTGCATTTACAAATCCTAAACTCTATAGAGTTCATTTTCCTAAATTTCAACTACATTTGAGCTAATCAATAAATGGTCCCCTGACAATATAGCCCAGAGTTTAATTCCAGAGAAACCAGGAAGGGACCACTGTTACCAGGAGCAGAGTATTATCCCAAAGAACAACTGCAAATTCAATTGTTCAGGTTGGTTGGAGGTCATGTTCTATGTTCTACATGAACAGGAAAAGGACAGAGGCATTGTCTGGGTAGTCCATCCCAAAGAAACCACAGGGCAAAGTCTGGGACAAAAGAAGAAACACTAAAGCTGCCATGCACTTGCATCTTGAAGTCAGAGCAGCCAGGAAAGCTACTGTTCCAAAAGCTGCTTGAGAACTTCTGAGACTATTAATGTTGGCACAGCTCAGTCCCACAGACCAGCAGCTCAATAGAAATCCCTGGAATTTCTAAAGGTATCTGATGTTTCTAACTTGCCACTACCAGCTGTCAGGAGTATACACTCAGCACAGTAAAGAGCCCACAAATGTGCCCAGTTTACCTGGAAACTACCTTTTCCTCTATATTAGTGCTGTATTCCTCTAAGGGGTTGAATAAGTAGGACACAGGCTGAGCTTCTGAAATAGAGACCCCAAATACAGTGGTATAAACAAAGTGTAAGTTTATTTTGTGCTCATTTGATTATGCAGAGATTAGTAGTCCCAGATCGGGTGAGAGAATCTGCCTTTCTCAACAGGGTGTTCCATCTCTGGGCCACCTTGGCTGTCCCAGTCGCATCACCTTCTAGTAACACACATCACTTTCTCTCCTATTCCTTTGGTCCCAACTAAGTCTATGAGAGGAACTGGGAAACAGAATGCCTACCGAGCAGCCACACACCCTTCAGAAACTCAAGATTTCTTTTTAAAATAAGGGGAGATGAATCCGGATAGACGTCTAGGAAACTCTGCCATGGGTAACTTGACAAATCATCACAAACGTGAGGCTTGAGAAGAGATTAATTGGGATTTTCCCTGTTTTATAGAAGAAGAAACTAAAATAAAGTTGTATGACATTTTTTTAACTCATTCAGAAAAATCTAGAAGTCAGTGGGTGACTTTCCTTGCTGTCATTCGTTATAAAAACTCCATGCTTATACACTTGTTTTTGTAAGCATTTACATCCTTTGTACATACACAAAATTTTGCTGGAAATAATTTTATTCCTCCTCCTATTACTTTTAAAATTATCAGTGGTCCAGAGTTCAAAGATTAAGAATTATAAAATAGACCATGGAAAATTTAGCAATAATTGAGCTCTCCATGTCTGGTACTTATGTAGAAGCATGTTTTAATAAACATCTGCAGAACATATGCTCAGTGGAAAACCCCTTTGACTGAGCAAGATTGAGAAATGTTTCACCCAGAATCATCACTCCCATTTCCAAATGAATGCATATAATTCCCCAGCAAGAGATTTTTAAGGCTTGATTCTTTTATGTTAAAGTAAATATGCAGGAAAATATTAAATAATTATGAATGTCTATGCAATATGATAATATTAGTAATGCTGCACCACAATTGCTGGGGGTGATAATAGGCATTTTACAAACATCACTTCTAATTCTGACAGCAATTCTGGGCAGATATTATAATAACCATTTTAAAACAGAAAATAAAGGCTTGAACAATTTAACAACCTTGCCCATAATTACACAGCTTGTAAGTGACCGACCTGGAAGGTCAGTGGAGATCTTTCAGTATTTAAAATTTGCATGGGACATGTTAAAGTAGCATTGTGTGTTGGCACTGCTGTTGAATCATAAATGTGCTCCATGGACTGTTTAAGTTAGACGGTGACCTTCTAGAAGGTGCCAGCCTTGAAATAACCACTACCTTCATTGTAAGTTCCCTTTCCATGAGTTTTCTTTTATTTTTACACCTTTGTTATTTTCTTTTTCTATTTTATTTAAGTATCAACAGGGAAAACAATCTAAGAAATGTTTACTATGTAATGAGCAATTTCACTTTTTAAGATATTAATATCAAACGAAGACCTTGGCTGATAGATTATAAGGAATAGAACGCACACTGTGAACTTAGAAATGACCCATATCCAACTTCAGTATGGTTATTTGTGACTTGTTAATTCAGTGAACCTTTTTGAGAAAAGAATGCCATTAGCCAAAATGCCATCATTAGGTTATTCATGCTAACCTCTTAATTCTATCAGTACAATTAATTATCTTACTTTTTCTGTTTTCAGTGAAATTACTATATAGAAGGTTAGTACAAGCAAGGCAATAGGGGAATTCATCTAACATAGAGAATAGAACAAATAAAGCAAACAATCTAAAAACAAAACTTTCTTCAGGAAATAGATCTATTTTCATAAAGTAAAATCTACAGTGGAGTTTACTCTTATATTTTAAAAACTATTAGGACATCAGCAATTGGTATTCTTCACTTCTCTATTCTTGTTAATGTAGTTCCTCTTTATTCTACTTGCATAATAAAAAAGTAATAACAGTCTTAGTTCTTGTTAGAAAGTCCCTAGGTGGTGGTGGCGCAGATTGGAATTAAACTGCTGACTCACTCTCATATGACTGCACTGTAAAGTCCTAGAATTCGGGGGTCTAGAAAGAAAATTTTGTATCAAATACACTACACAGTCACAAGAAAGTAGCAAATTTAGATTTGAATGTGCTGTGGTTAGATGGAATTTCCATAGGCTACAAAATACACCTGAACTTCCGATTTTAAAATCTAAGGCTCCATTGTAACATTTCAGGATTAATGACTGAACAACTTGTTACAGGCCACTTGAGGGGAAGACTGGAGGGAAAGGTGCCAATATTCCACACTGTCTTAAAAAGTTAAGGAATACTACTGGGTAAGTGGGAATGCACCAAGCTCAGTAGCATTACTACGCATTTGCCTAACTGCAGTAAGAGGAAACAGTGGGTGAAGGAAGTCCAGGCTCTATGAAGGCATGGCATAAATCCATTTCACTAAGCTGTTGGCCATCGCTGATGCTATCCTTGTGAACAAGATGATCAAATTTCAGATGATTCAGGCTTGAAGATTGATGTTGCTTTGAGGAACAGGCATTGGTTAAATACCAATGGACTCCAACAAGTCAACCTTGTAATCAGCTCTCAGGAGGAAAATATAAAACCTGCTGTTCTGATTCTTGCCCATTTGCCCTACCCCACTGCTCCTACCCACCATGCCATTCTCTACCCTGCTTCGCCCTGCTCTGTGCCCAGGAACAAAGGCTGATTTACTATGGAGCTAATGAAGCTTCAGCTCAGGACTCCATAGATGTTACCTCTTCCAAACTTTGTGCCTAATGTAATTTGGAACTATTTTTCTTATAGATGGCCTGCTCCTCACTGTATAAGCCTCATCTCTACCTAATTTGGAGTCAGCCCTGTCCAGGAGGCTGAATCCTATAGACTATCAACTGATACGATAAGCAAAAACAATGGCCCCTCTAAAGACATTCACATCCTAATCCCTGGAACTTGTGAACATGTTACCTTATGTGGCAGAAGAAGTCGGTGATGCTATGTGAAGACTCAATCTTCCATTGCTGGCTTTGAAAATGGAGGAGCTGGCCACGAGCTAAGGAATATGGAGGGAATTTTGAAACTGGAAAACGCAAGGAAATGGATTCTCCTCTAGAGCCCCCAGAAAGGAATACAGCCCTGCCGACACTTTTATTTGAGCCCAGTGAGACCTTTGTAGGACTTCTGACCTACAGAACTGTTAGATAAAAAATTTATATTATTTAAGCCACCAAGCTTGTGGTCATTTGTTACAGCAGTAATAGGGAACTGCAGCTGGCTTCTGGTTGAATTTGGCTAATGGGAATCATCTGAAGAAGATCAGATGCTGAGAGGAAGAAGTGGTTGGAGTACTCCTTTACTATTCTCCACTTGCTCTGCGCTGAGTGTCCTGGTGAGGGCGACATCTCTCCCCAGCTAGAATGTCTCCTCCACTGCTCTGGCTCTCAATGGGATGCTGAGGCACCATTTCCTGTTTGCCCCTTCAAGCCTAGGGCTGGTAAGGACTTCCTGTTCTTATCTGTCTTCTTACTCTACCCACAATTTCATAAGTAGTTCGTGAAGTAGCTCAAATAGTGTTCCCCAAAATTCACGTTCACCCAGAACCTCAGAAGGTGACCATATTTGGAAATAGGGTCTGTGAAGGTATAATTAACTAAGGATCTTGAGATGAAATCATCGGATATTTAGGGTGACCCCTAAATCCAATGACTGGTGTCTTTGTGAGAAGAGGAAAAAACACAGAGAGACACACCAAGAAAGCCATGTGAAGATGGAGGCAGATTAGGGTGATGCCTCTTCAAGCCAGTGAATGCCCAGGATTGTGAGCAAACACCAGATACTAAGAGAGACGCATGGGCTTTCCCTCAGAGCCTCTAGAAGAAACCAATTCTGTCAACACCTTAAGTTTGGACTTCTAGCCTCCTTAACTGTGAGAAAATAAATTTCTTTTGTTTTAAGCCACTGGGTTTGCGGTAATTTATTATGGCATCTCTGGGGAATTAATGCAACACCTTTGTTAAAGTCTCTTGAAGCATTCAAGTAGGCTTCCATTTTCCACTCTGGCTGGCAGAATTCTATTTTTATTACCCTTTAAAATGGCACAAAAATAGGAGGAATAGTTATCTTCTGGATTATGGGGTCAAAATTAAAAATAATCTTAAAAATCTAGCATAAAGGGCTGTACCTGGAAAATGTGAAAAATAACAGCTTTGTACTTCAGTTCAAAAAAATCAGTTGCCATTATTGCCCATGGAACCTTAGACAAATCACTTAGTATTCCTGACTCTAAGTTATATCATGTTTAGAATGGAGATGATAAAACCTGTTCCCCTTACATTCTTTTAAGAGCAAGAAGAAATAACTGAATACAGGGAAATGAGTGCAGAATAGGAGTCATTCGATATGAAGCTAAACTTGGCTTTGTCACCAATAAGCTGTGTAAATCTTCCTTAAGTAAATTAACCTTAATGTTCTCTAGTTCTCTCATGAGAAGGTTGGACTAGATGCTTGACAAGTGGATCATTTAGTCCTAATATTCTATAAATTGATTGCATAGTACAACAAATATGTGAATAAACAGTCATCCTCATGAAAAAGACCAAGGGGATTTTTGGTAGTTGATCACATGCTTAATATTAACCAACTATGGCATGTGACTGCTAAAAAAAAAAGAGTGATTAATTAACTAATTAATGCAAAAGAAAAAATGAAAACAGTATAGACTTAGTCTATTTTAGAAATATCCCTATCTAAGAGAAGATAAGTATCCTACTAAGCTGTGTTGTATGATCAGTTATAAATATCACATTTTCAAAAGAATATTAAGAATGATGAATATTGTCAAAACAGGATTATCAGGATAGTTTGGCATCTAAAAAATATCACATATGTATTGCTTTAATGAGCAAAGAACACATATCCTGAAGAAGGAAAAGTTTAAAAGGATAAACAGGGAGAACTAAGGCCAGTGAATCAAAGTAGAGCAAAAGCAATTTTAGAAGCAAGATCAAGAAAAGAACTATCGTAATTAGAATTGCCAAGTAGTAGAATGGTAATGTTGGTCACTAGACTTACTCAAAGGTAAGGCTGGGTCACATCTTACAGTTGCTATCAACCTATCAGTGGTTTGTTAAAGCAAGAGACAATTGTTAGTACCTCTTCCAAACTCCATATTCACTGACATTATTTCAGTAGGTTGAAATTGGCCAACTTGGGAGTATATACACCACTGAAGTCAGCAAACACTAAAAAACACGGGCCTTTGTTTTCCCTGGACATCTGGTGGTTAAATATTTACCACCACACTACTGGGTGCTATGGAATTCCTGCACTGAGTAGTTTGACCTCTATAATTGTACTGCCAACTCTGTAGGACTCAGATTCTTTTTGACTTAGTCTAGTGGGGAGTAAAATCAAGAGAGATGAGTCTAAATAAAGTTAAAATGCCTTCAACATAAGACTTCTAGACTCAGCTTCCTGGTTGTACACACTTTCTTTTTCTTCCCCTGATGGTGATTCTTCAAACCACCTTGAATATCCTCTCCCTTTCAATTTCTTTTTCTTCTTTCTTATCAAAACTAAGATAGATCTGACAATCAGACAAAATGGACACACATAATAGATTTTCAAATAGGTGAAAGGTTATCATGTAGAAAAGAAATGAGGCTATTATCATTATTAAATAGATCATGTAGTAGGGAAACATTATCGTGTGATTTAAGCAACATCAAGGACAATATATGCATCAACATCATTCATTAGCTGCTATTGATTAGCTACATAGTGTGAGCAAGTCACTTACTAGTCCTTGGATTCTGTTTCTTATCTGTGAAATAGGACTCACAATTTCTAACTCAAAAGGTTTTCTCAGTTCTATAAAAGATGATTAAACAAAAATATTTTGTCAGGTGCTATACAAATAAAAATTATCATTGTTAGTATATTATTACTACAATTTATTTACATCTTAATTCAAAATGGTGTTTATTCTATGATTATAACAAGAGTGGAACAAGAAGAATGAGATGCACATCCCTACTTCCTTATCACCCACTGACAGCTTCTATGTGAATATGATTCAAACCAAAACAATGCAATCCTGTCCTTCCCATTCCTCACATAAAAGTAATAACAAAACTGCAAACAGGTGTTTTTCTTCTTTTGCCCATATCCTCAGCATTTTAGTAGGGACTTATTATATCAAGGGTACCCAGAGCCTTGCTAGCCTTTCCCTCAGCATGGTTCTGTGCTGTAAGAGATAAATAAATTTTTGAAAATTAAAACATCTTAAAATACCTCACATTGTGTTTTCCCTTGTATTAATCCTACTTTAAAAAAAAAAAGCCATTCCTTTCACCATTAAGGATAAGGCATAAGGTTCATTGTCCTAGAAAAAGAGAGAGAGTGGTAAGAGTCTAGAACAAACAGGCTTCTCATTGTAGCTCAGAGTTTAAATATTTGAGTTCACAGTCAGGGAATACTCTTGAAAATCAGGCTTTGTTTAGAAAGTAAAGAATGTTCTAACCCAAAGCCAATCTTTACATAACAAGGTTGGAGATCTGAATATAAAAATTCCCTATAAGATATAGGCAGAGAACATTCAGCAGATCACATATGCTCATATGTGCCTGAAGCTCTTATCTGCCTACAGGCTTGGGATGCACAATTGGGAAGAAGGGTGTTGGGGGTGAGGAGGGGGAATGTGCAGGAACTGGGGAAAGAAGTTCAGATAAGACAAGTCCAGGGTAAGGAAGCAGCAGGCACCTGGAAAGGGGATCAATCCAGTAGTTGATAGAAGTTCTGACACAAACTCCAAATAAGTTGAGAACAAACCTGAGAACAATTGAATGGGTGCTCCACTTCACACCTTGGGGAACAGTAGAACAGCAAGAGCAGATAAACAAGTCCCGTCACATGGAGCAGGGTAGTCCTACATCTTCTGCCTGTCTCCTGAGGAACAAGAAATGATACAGAATTGCCCATGTATGGGAGAAGGCAGATAGCATGAGCTTACCTGGGGAGTCTGGATAAGGAGAAAGTTAATTTACATACAGCACAAAGCTTTGGGATCAACTTCCCATGTCAGGGATTGAATGAGAGTCACAGCTATATCTTTGGGCAAGTTCTACTAAGCCAGAAATAGTGAACCAGATGGTGGAGGTGACTTGATCAGATAACAGAGGTGACCAAGTTCCCCAGAGCAATCTCCTCACCATGTCAAGGCCAAGAGAACAGACCACAAATTGTACCACCTAAAGACACATTAAAAGTGGCAGCAGTATGGAGTCCTCAACCATGGCCCCAGTGAACTGCATGTTACACAGTTATGTGTCATCAAAAGACTGATATGCCTTTATATTATCAGAGTGAGATTTGATGCCAAAACATCCAAGCCAAGTTCTGTGGGAGTCGCAGATAGAGACAAAGCACAAAGCAAATTGTTCCCCCTCAGCCTTGCCGTGGGTTTTGTAAGAGGCAGGAGAAGAGAATATGTGAAAGAATGAGCTTAACAAAAGAGACCATTTTAAAACAGAAGAGCATGAGCTACTTAACTGACAATTTTATATCTATTCCACAATCCCCACTGGTAAAGACGGGGGTTTGTAAGCAAAATGATTTCAAAATAAAGAAAATAAACTGGTTACTTTGTTACTTTTTTTTCTTGCACATCTGAATGGTAATGCACATATTTTCACCTCCCATCGCCAATCCTAGGCATTTGCTCTTGGGAAAGGTACCTTAGATCATAAGTCAGCTAATAAAGAGAATGGCAGACCCATGTTCTCATAGTGAAAGGATTAAAAAGAAAGCCCTGCAAGGAGGATCTACGTTCACTGTTTCTTAGAGGGCTGAAGAAGAGCATCAACGTCCACCAGTTCGAATCCCAGAATCTCAGACTCAGGTGGATCCAAGGAGTGATGATCCTTCCTGTGAAAAGCAGTAGAGGTTTTGCAAGGGAAGATAGTAGAGTATTGAATGGAGAATGTTCAGGAATGGAATGTTTGGAGCTGGAGGGCACACAGGGGTTTAAAGGTGAGGACTGGCTGCGCATCTTTGGAAGGTGGAATGGGAGTCATCCATGACGTCCCGTTCTTAGGAAGCCCTACGTTATTTTGGTTCCTTAACTTGTGAGATTTGAGGAAAACTCCAGGTTAACTAGGACTTTAATATGGTCCCTTTTAACCTTGTAATTCCTTTCTAAAATTTCTCTCATCCTAAAATAAAGAGGTCACATATTTTTAGAAAATCAGGTGTGATGCCTTTGTGGAGGATGAAGGATGAAAGTAGACAAGAGGTCTCATGGATCCAATGGAAAAAAGTATGTAATAATATTGGGGCAACCACACCTCAGAATAGGTGAATGGATGAATAGAAATGCCAGAGCATGACCCACAGAGAAACTGGTAATGGAGGGAGATCCTGGAATCTGGAAAATATCCCAGAAAAAATATGTGGATGAGACATTTTACAACCAAACCTTCCTCCAACCCTCACAGGTTACTGAAGGAACAGAACAGAGCTTGTAAACTGCAAGCTACATAGTTATGTGTCTTCAAAATACTAATGTTGTTTGTATTATAAGTGGGATTATGAGTCATTTTGTTTCTTCTGTTTTCTAGAGTTCATGTAGACACATGCTTTCCATCCAATAAATATTTATCAACATTTACAATACACCAGGCATTCTTCATCAGTGAGTAAAAGAGGCAAAAATAAACCCCTGCCTGTACTCTAAAGAAATACAATGTAAAAGCAGACAAAAGCAACTATTAATATTTTTAGCTCAGTGGTCAAATATGCCTCTCTCATGTGTGCACAAATGCATGCACGCAGAGGCACGCACACATGCACACAAACAGAGTGTCTTTCCCGGTTTTCTTAATTTCAACCTGTTTATTTCCCCAGTCTCCCCACTTATTTCTAATTCTTCATTTCACTCATAGGTTTATTAGAATTTCTCAGAGTTCTTTGAGCTAAAAAGCTCAGTAATTATAAGTCATCTGTTGTGCCCCGAAACCTTTATTAAATTTTATTTAGACAAAATTATAGAAAACAATTCAGTATGCTTCAATTAAAATTAGCCAAACTATTTTCTCATACACACTGCATTCCTACTGCCTCAACACACATATACACAACCACATACACCAGTAATATTAAAAGTTAAAAAGTAATTTGCAATTCAAGTATGTTTGTTGAAATAATTACTACAGTTGTATATGAATGTTCAGTGAGGTAAGAGGAAATTGTTTATTACTGAATAATGAAAAAATATTACGCTTGTCCATTGGGTGGCAGCAAAACTCTTCCATACTGTTAAATTCTCAAAGCCTTTGTCTTCAGTGTCTTCATGCTAAATTTGATAGATTATACTACACACAGAGGAAAATCCTCAATTCTTCCCTTTCAGGAAGGGGCTGCAGAAGCAGTGAGATTAGTGCTGCATTGAGTTTAAAGTCTTACTGGGTATAGAAGAAATTATCTTTTGAATTTAAAAAACAACAAATTTTATTATTTTATTCTTCAATTCAATCCAAAAGATTCGTGTCAATTACGTGTCAGTACTATGCTGGAAACTTTCTATTTTCATGAAGTTGGCTCCAGCGGGTAGAACTCTACACGAAAAAATAAACATCTGCAACATCAAAAACACCCGGCTTCAATCTCCATCTTCCCTCTCAACACCCTCCTATCATCTGAGCAAACACTCCTTCTTTCCAAAAAGTTACTACTTGATTGGAAACTTAAGCTAGAAAATCACCATAACACAGCATCAAAATTACTGTTTATCTAAAATTGTATAAGTAAAGCAAGGATATCCACTCCATCCCTAAGGTCAGAATTTTTAAATCCACAAACAAATATTTACTTAACCTGCCTGCTCCACAGGGGCCTTTGACCCTCCCTCCTTTGCTCCCAGAACAAAGAGAGAAAAGAGCAATACAAGTGAAAGGAAGAGAATTAACAGTTGAGTGTCAAGAGATGCTGACTGAAATGAACAGAACAGGGCAAGTATGTTAAAGTGCTTCCCAGGTTTTTTCATACGGCATACATCGAACATGCTATTTGTTTTGATACTTTGAGGTAAATGAATGATACCCTTAGATCTGGAAGTGACCAGCCTAGAGTATCTGGCTGTTCTGGGCCTGGAGACCCTGAAGGCCAAAGAGACAAAGGTATCTGTCCATCTGTTCCACACACATGGCACAACCTCTATGCCCCAGCTCACCTACATGGACATTAGGGTTACATGGGGAACTAAGAGGGCTTTAAAATCACTATTCTCAAGAAGGTCCATAAACTCATCAGTTTAGAGAATCTTCTTCCTCCCATTTTTATTTTATACATTTTATGCTTACAAAATGTACATTTTGGGACAATGTGCCCCTGTGGCTTCCCCAGCTTATCCACATATCCCTCTCCCCACATACTATTCATGTGTTGTCACCCACCAGTTACAGAATCATGGAAGGTGATTTACTTTATATTCACTATGTTTGGGGGAATCTTCTTTGGAACCATTTTGTGCTGGGTCATTGTTTTTAAAATTTTTAATTTAATTTCAAGTTCCAGGATACATGTGCAGGATGTGCATGTTTGTTACATAGGTCAACTTGTGCACCAAACATGGTGGTTTGCTGCACCCATCAACCCATCACCTAGGTATTAAACCCCACGTGCATTAGCTATTTATGCTGATACTCTCCTTTCCCCAACCCTCCCCCAAGAGGTCCCTGTGTATGTTGTTCCCTCCCCGTGTCCATGTGTTCTCATAGTTGAGCTCCCACTTCTAAGTGATAACATGTGGTGTTTGGTTTTCTTTCCCTGTCTTAGTTTGCTGAGGATAATGGCTTCTAGCTCCATTCATGTTCCTGCAAAGGACATAATCTCATTCCTTTTTATAGCTGCATAGTATTCCAAGGTATATATGTACCACATTTTCTTTATTCAGTCTATTATTGATGGGCCTTTGGGTTGATTCCATGTGTTTGCTATTGTATATAGTGCTGCACTAAACATACACATGCATGTATTTTTATAACAGAACGTTTTATATTCCTTTGGATATATACCCAGTAATGGGACTGCTGAGTCAAATGGTATTTCTGGTTCCAGATCTTTGAGGAATCGCCACACTGTCCTCCACAATGGTTGAAATAATTTACATTCCCATCAGCAGTGTAAAAGTGTTCCTATTTCTCCACAGCCTCGCCAGCATCTGTAGTTTCTCCACTTTTTAATAATCACCATTCTGACTGGTGTGAGATGGTATCTCATTGTGGTTTTGATTTGCATTTCTCTAATGATCAGTAATGTTGATCTTTTTCTCATATGTTTGTTGGCCACATAAATGTCTTCTTTTGAGAAGTGTCTGTTCATGTCCTTTGCCCATTTTTTGATGGGGTTGCTTTTTTCTTGAAAATTTGTTAAAGTTCCTTGTAGATTCCGGATATTAAACCTTTGTCAGAAAGACAGATTGCAAAAATTTTCTCCCATTCACTCACGTCTGTTCACTCTGATGATAGTTTCTTTTGCTGTACAGAAGTGCTTTAGTTTAACTAGACTCCATTTGTCAATTTTTGCATTTGTTGCAATTGCTTTTGATGTTTTTGTCATGTAATATTTACCCTTGCCTATGTCCTGAATAGTATTGCCTAGATTTTCTTCTAGAGTTTTTATAGTTTTGGGTTTTACATTTAAGTCTTTAATCCATCCTGGCCTAATTTTTGTATAATGTATAAGGAAGGGGTCCAGTTTCAATTTTGTGCCTATGGCTAGCCAGTTTTGCTCACTAGCCATAGGCACATAGGCCCTTTTTTTTAAACTTTGATATGCATAAACCTATCATGGTAACCTTGAATCAATAATTGCCTAGGCTGGAGTACAGTGGTATGATCTTGGCTCACTGCAACTTCCCCCTCCTGGGCTCAAGCGATTCTCCTGCCTCAGCCTCCCAAGTAGCTGGGATTACAGGCATGCACCACTACGCCCGGCTAATTTTGTATTTTTAGTAGAGATGGGGCTTCTCCATGTTGGTCAGGCAGGAATTTTATGGTTTTAGTTCTTCCATTTAGGTTAGTGACCCATTTAGAGTTAAGTCATAAGAAAACACTCCAAAAGATATTTATTGTGCCAAGATGATAAAAATATGGGGATTTATTTTTTCTTCTTTTCCAAAACTTAAGTAATGTACACATATTAATTTTTAAAGAAAACAAAAATTCAAAGTAAATTTTAAAATAAGATTGTAAAGCATATTTTTATAGCTAGACAAATATTCAAAATTTTATATGCCCTTTCTGCTTTTTATGTAACATCTTCTCTGTTCTTCAGTGTCTCATACTTCCTATTTGAAACAAGAGCCATCATTGCAAAGCACTGCACCCCTGTAGGATATTGGTGTTTTATGACATTTCTAGGCTCCTATGGTTTTTCCAGCTCTTGATCCAAGGCCCTTATGAAGCCCAATAACACCGCTTATCCTTAAGCCCCACGGTATTCCCTGTAATCTCTATTATTTCCTCATGTTTACAGCAAACTAACTTCAGCAGCTTCAGTTGCTTGGCATGAAAAGTTTCCTGACCAAGACAGAGAACAAAAATCTCTAGTGATGAAAAACCATCAATTTGCTGCTACTGTATGAAGGGCTCAAAAGACACAGCAGAGAAACCTGTCATGTCCTAAAGAGGTGGTTAAGAAAGTCATCACCAAAAGCCATTGCAGCTGCATCCTTGATTTGAGTTATAGAAGGATAAATCAGTTAGCATTTTAGTCATGAGGACAGCTAATTCTGGAAATTGTCTGTGAGAAACTTCACCCCTCTTTTCTTCTACGAGTAGCCACTTAGTTTATGCCTTTAAAGCAAAACATATGCCTTAAAGGTCAGAGAGATAAGTAATACTCTTCAAGTACCAAAGTTAATCAGAACAATTCAGTATTCAAATGCTCGTATTTACTTACATTTTCAAATAGATGTTATTATTCTCAGTTTATAGGTGAGGGCACTGAAGCTCAGAAAACTATTTTGCTTGAGATCTCAAACCTATTAAGTGTGAATACTAAAATAAAGCCCTAGGATTTTTATTCTAAGTTAGTGGTCTTCCCACCCGTCCAGAGCTACTTCTTTAAGACAATAATACAGGGCATGCTGATCTCAGTGGAGGCCAGTCTTATGAATACCGACAGCTAAAGAATGTGCCCAGGGGTTTAAGGCAACATTCCCTACACCAAAACATGCCTCTCACTGCCTAATATTATTTCTTCATCCTTTGACTCAGGTCAGGAGGAATTTAACTGAGGTGAAAGAAATAACAATGTTTGCCTTTATCAGTGACGGATATCAACATCATGAAGCTTTTTTACCATACTTATGTCTACATCCCTCCATTACCCTTGCCCCTACAAATCCAGATTCCATATATCTGAGGTAGGACTAGCACATGTGTATATTGAAAAAATTCCCCAGAGGATTCTAAAGTACTGTTCTAATTTAAGAACGGCCTCATAAAGATTTCTTGATACATAGCTGGAAGCAAATAGACATGCAGTAAATTTTATTTTTCCTTTAAAATAAATGTATGATCAACCCTGTGTCAGGCGCTCTATCAGGCAGTGGGAACATATCAATGAACGAGTCAGGTACGGCCATTGCTTTCATGAAACTTGTATCTCATTTTGTTGCAGTGTAACAATTAATTCTATTCTATCCATAAGAGAGTCAAGTATTAAAAGATAATAGGGAAGATGACAAAAAGGAAAACAAAGATAAATCATCCATACTTTAAATTTTAGGAAAGTTAACAGTAACTAAAAAGAAGCAAAATAAATATTAAGGCTTGAGAAATAGAGATATATTGATGTTAAAAAGTAAAGTCATGCATTACATAACGACAGGAGTATGTTCTGAGAAATGCATCCTTAGGTGATTTCATCATGTGATCATAGAGTCCACTAACACAAACCTAGATGGGTTAGCCTACTACACACCTAGGCTATACGGTATAGCCTATTGCTCCTAGACTACAAACCTGTACAGCATGTTATTGCGCTGAATACTGTAGGCAACTGCGAAACAATGACAAGTTTTTGTGTGTCTAAACATACATAAAGATGGAAAAGGTACAGTAAAAATACGGTTTAAAAGAAAAAAAAAGGTACACCTGTATAGGGCAGCTCCATCATAATCTTATAGGACCACCATTATATATGTAGCTCCTCTTTGATTGAAACGCCATTATGTGGTGTGTGACTGCAATATTCTAGCTAAATCCAGCTTATCCAAGCAGTAACTCAACAGACTTGCAGTAACCTATTCTAGATATTATTAAAACACAAACACTAGGCAGGGCGCCGTGGCTCATGCCTGTAATCCCAGCACTTTGGGACGCCGAGGCGTGCAGATCACGAGGTCAGGAGATCGAGACCATCCTGGCTAACACAATGAAACCCCGTCTCTACTACAAATACAAAAAATTGGCTGGGCGCGGTGGCTCATGCCTGTAATCCCAGCACTTTGGGAGGCCGAGGTGGGTGGATCACCTGAGGTCCGGAGTTCGAGACCAGCCTGACCAACATGGAGAAATCCCGTCTCTACTAAAAATACAAAATTAGCCAGGCATGGTGGCGCATGCCTGTAATCCCAGCTACTCCGGAGGCTGAGCCAGGAGAATGGCTTGAACCCGGGAGGCGGAGGTTGCTTTCACTCAGGAGGCTGAGGCAGGAGAATGGGGTGAACCCAGGAGGTGGAGCTTGCAGTGAGCCGAGACCGCGCCACTGCACTCCAGCCTGGGCAACAGAGCGAGACTCTGTCTCAAATACAAAAATAAATAAATAAATTCATTAATTAATTTTTAAAAAATTAAAAATAAAACACAAACACTGAAGAGAAGAAGCTTAGAATAAGGGAGGAAAGCATAATGATATAAAATTAAGTAAAGTAATATTTAGTTTGCTCAGAGGGAATAAACATCTTGTGAGAGAAAAAAATTAATGAGGTTCTTGGAAGTATTTCTCTATCTCTTAGACAATTGGTAATTATCATGAAATACTACTAGTCATTAACATAGAAAACTGGGCTAGACAGAGACCTAAGAGTTATACACCCATGATTAACTTTGATTGGAGAAAACCAATTGCAATGTATGAGATCTCCTTTAATACTACTTCCTTTAATTCCATGTCTTCCCCTTCCTGCCACCTCAATTTCCACCATTTAATTTGGCACATGATGCCTCTCATAATCTGGTCTCTCAGATCTCACTACCCCAAATTTTCGACGGCCCTTACCCACTATATGACCAGTGATCCGGTAGTGCCAAACTACTTTTAGTTTCTCAAGTAAGCTATCATCTTTGATGGCCATTTGTTTTGCATATTTTCTTCCCTCTGCTTAGAACAGTCTTACCATTACCTCGAAAAAGAAATCAGACTATATTAGTTTGCGAGGGCCACCATAATGAAGTACCACAGACTGGGTAACTTAACATAAATTTTCTCAGAGTTCTGGAGGCTAGAAGTCCAACATAAACAAGTCAGCACAGTTGATTTCTTCTATGGGGTCTCTCATTGGCTTGTAAATGGCTGTTTTCCTGTGTTTTCACATATTTCCTCTGTCCATGTCTGTGTCCAAATTTCTTCTTCTCATAAGGACACCATTCATATGAAATTAGGGCCTACCCTACTCACCTCACTTTAACTTATCTCTTTAAAGACAATATCTCAGAATACAGACACATTCAAGGTTACTGAATGCTATGACTTCAATATATGAATTTGGGGGGAGAGTAAAATTCAGATTATAACAGACAAATTCTTACTGTCTACAATACAGCTTTATAGTAATTTCTTCTAAGAGTTCTTCATCTTGAATCTTTCCATCTCAGTCTGAGTTAGGTCTCCTTCCTCAGAACTTCCAAAGCACTACCTGTATTCCTCTATCACATTAAAGGATATGTTTTCTCACTCTGCTCTAAGATGTGACTTTCTTTTCCTTATCCCAGCACCTACCCCTGTGCCTCACACCTGGTAAGTGTGCCATACTCTTTGTACCTTGAAGTATAAGCCCTCTAGCCTGGCTGTATTGTGATAGTATTTCATTGGATAGGAAATATAGAATTAGAAAACATAGACAATTAGTGCCTTTTTGTAATGTTGAGTTTAAGAGATATCTATATATAGAAATAAGTAGCAAGGAAGTGGAAATACAGGCATGAAACTCAACGGAGAAAACCATGCTGAAAGTATGATTTGGTGAATGGGTATGATCACTCAGGGAACATGTATAAATGAGAATAGCATGGAAAAATCTTTAAAGAATAACAAATTTTTGAAACAGCAGGAGAAAGAATAGAAATGTCAGAGAAGCAAAAGGAGGCTAAGAGAGAATAGTTTCTCTTCCCATTGATACTATTTTCCATACTAGCATCAAACTTTGCAGTGAGCTGTTTATCCTTTATATTGCCACCAGGGGTCTCCAACAACTTCTGCAATGCCTGACAGAACTCAAAGTATCTTATAGCTGTCTTTACAAGGGCTTTGGCAACAATAACATTCCTTGAGAAAGAAGACCAGGTAGGTGCCTCAAAACAGTGTTAGATATCCTTGACTGAGCTGAAGTCCGGAGGAGTCCTTTAAGTTACTCTTGGTCTGCAGCTTACTGACCACCAGGTAGTCTCTTGTACTGGCAACTTTGTCACACAATGAATCACTGAGACATACTCTCCCTATCAAGAATTGAGACTGGTTGTTCACCTACGACACAATGAAGCCCAATACATAGATTGCATAAGGTTTGATGAGCACCCAGAGCAGACTGAAAAGAACTGGATGTTCTGAAGAAAAAAATTAAATCATGTAATAGGGACTCTATTATTTTGATTCTAGAAATTATCTATCTTCAAAAAAAAAAAGATGAGAAAAAAATGTTTTAAGTCTATCTCCTAGAATAAAGAAAAATAAGATTAGGCTGAATAAAGCTGACATTTATTTCTTAAACTTTTTCCTTTTTCTAATTATTCCTGCAGACAACTGCAATTAACTTTTATATATATATGTACTTTCATATTAAATGTTTAGAATTTTCACTAACATGGAAACGTTTAGTACAGAAAAGTAAAGATTGAACAATATTACTCATAGACCTCCTACCTCATTAACATTTTGCATATTTGTTTCTTCCATATATGTTTTGTCTCGATGTGTCCGGAATTGGTGGGTTCTTGGTCTCACTGCCTTCAAGAATGAAGCCGTGGACCCTCGCGGTGAGTGTTACACTTCTTAAAGGCGGAGTATCCGGAGTTTGTTCTTTCTGTTGTTCAGATGTGTTCGGAGTTTCTTCCTTCTGGTTTGTTCGTGGTGTCGCTGGCTCAGAAGCGAAGCTGCACACCTTCGCGGTCAGCGTTACAGCTCTCAAGGCGGTGCGTCTGGAGTTGTTCGTTTCTTCCAGTGGGTTCTTGGTCTCACTGGCTTCAGGAGCGAAGCTGCAGACCTTTGCCGTGAGTGTTACAGGCCCGTAAAGGCAGTGTGGACTCAAAAGAGTCAACAGCAGCAAGATTTATTGCAAAGAGCAAAAAAACAAAGCTTCCACAGTGTGGAAGCCGGACCCCACCTAGTTTCCACTGCTGGCTGGGGCAGCCTGTTTTTATTCTCTTATCTGGCCTCAACCACATCCTGCTGATTGGTCCATTTTACAGAGAGCTGATTGGTCTGTTTTACAGAGAGCTGACTGGTCTGTTTCGACAGGGTGCTGATTGGTGCATTTACAATCCCTGAGCTAGACACAAAAGTTCTCCATGTCCCCACCAGATTAACTAGATACAGAGTGTGGATTGGTGCATTCACAAACCCTGAGCTAGACACAGGGTGCTGATTGGTGTGTTTACAAACCTTGAGCTAGATACAGAGTGCTGATTGGTGTATTTACAATCCCTTAGCTAGACATAAAGATTCTCCAAGTCCCCACCAGACTCAGGAGCCCAGCTGGCTTCACCCAGTGGATCCCGCACTGGGGCTGCAGGCGGAGCTGCCTGCCAGTCCTGCGTCGTGTGCCCGCACTGCTCTGCCCTTGGGCGGTTGATGGGACCGGGCGCCCTGGAGCAGGGGGCGGCGCTCCTCGGGGAGGCTGCGGCCGCGCAGGAGCCCACGGGGGTGGGGGGAGGCAGGGAGGGTCAGGCATGGCCGGCTGCAGGTCCCAAGCCCTGCCCTGCAGAGAGGCAGCTAAGGCCAGTGAGAAATCGAGCGCAGCAGCTGCTGGCCCAGGTGCTAAGTCCCTCACTGCCCCGGGCCTGCGGGGCCCGCCAAGCCCACGCCCACCCGGAACTAGCGCTGGCCCGCAAGCGCCGTGCGCAGCCCCGGTTCCAACCGCGCCTCTCCCTCCACACCTCCCCGCAAGCTGAGGGAGCCGGCTCCGGCCTTGGCCAGCCCAGAAAGGGGTTCTCACAGTGCAGCAGCGGGCTGAAGGGCTCCTCAAGCGCGGCCAGAGTGGGCGCCAAGGCGGAGGAGGCGCCGAGAGCAAGCGAGGGCTGCTAGCATGCTGTCACCTCTTACTGAGCCATTATAAAATAAATTACAAACATTATACTTCAAACTAATCCCTTTAGCATACATTTCCAGAAAATAAGTGTTCTCTTACCTATTAGCAGTGCTGTTATAACATCTGACAAATTTAGAGAACTTCTTAATGTTATATATTTACCAGGCCACATTTAAATATTGCCACTTCCCTCCACAAAATGTATTATAGGCTTTTTAAAATAAGTTTTTAAACCAAGATTTAGTCAAATACCATGCATTGTCTTTGACTGTTATGTTATCTTTTCATCTAAAGCAATTTCCATTCCCTTTCCTTTTTTCCTCCATGATACAGGCTTAGCAATGAGACCAAATTGTCTTGCAGAATTTTACATAGTCTTGATTTGTCTGTTCTTTGTGGTATCCTTTAAATTGATCCTGTATCACCATTATTTCCTATAAATTGGAGGTTAAAACTGTAGGCTGAATTAAATTCCAATTAAGCATTTTGAACAAGAATATTCCATGGGTGATGCTGTGTACAATATTGTGTATCACATTAGAAGGCATATAATGTTTGATATCCCATTATTAGTGAAATCCCTGTAGGACTTCTTTTTTTCTGTTTTTTTTAATTTCTTGTTTTTATTGACAAATAATAATTGTGCCTATCTATGGGGTACAGGGTGACATTTTGATACATGCATACATTGTGTAAAAATCAAATCAGGGTATTTGGCATATACATAGCCTCATTCATTTATCATTTCTGTGTGGTTAAAACATTCAAAATTCTGTCTTTCAGCTACGTTTAAATATACAGTATTTGTTAACCATAGTCACCCTACTGTGCAATAGAACAGAACTTATTACTCCTAACTGTAATTTTATACTCATTGACCAATCTCTCCCTGTGCTCTTGTCCCCTTCCCTCCTAGCCTCTGTTAATCACCATTCTAGTCTCCACTTCTACAAGACCAACTTCTTTAGATTCTACATATGAGTAAGATGATACGGTATTTCTGTTTTTGTGCCTGGCTTATTTCATTTAATGTCCTCCAGGTTCTTCCATGTTGCCACAAATGACAGAATGCCATTCTTTTTTTGTGGCTGAATAGTATTTCAGTGTGTGTGTGTGTGTGTGTGTGTGTGTACACACCACAATTTCTTCATCCATTCATCCATTCATGGACATTTAGGTTGATTCCATATCTTCGCTGTTGAGAATAGTACTGCAATATACATGGGAATGTAGGTAATCTCTTTGACATGTTGATTTCATTTCCTTTGAATATACACCATGTAGTGGGATTGCTGGATCATATGGTAGTTCTATTTTTAATTTTTAAAGAAATCTTCATACTGTTTTCTGCAGTGGATGCACTGTTCCCAACAATGTGTAGGAGTCACCCTTTCACCACATCCACAACAGCATTTGTTACTTTTTGTCTTTTTGATAATAGCTATTCTAATAGGAGTGAGGTGGTACCTCATTGTGGTTTTGATGTGCTTTTCCCTGATGATTACTAATGTTAATCATTTTTTTCATATACGTGTTGGCCTTTGTATGTCTTCTTGTGAGAAATATCTATTCAGGTATTTTGCCCATTTCTTAATTGGATTTTTTTATTGTTTTGTTTTGCTGTTGAGTTTTTTGAGTTCCTTCTATATTGATATTAACCTTTTGTCAGATGCATAGTTTGCACATATTTCATCTCATTTTGTTGATTGTCTTTTCAATCTTTTTTTTCCTTTGCTGTGCAAAAGCCTTTTAGTTTTATGTAATCCCATTTGTCTATTTTGGTTTTTGTTGCCTATGCTTCTGTGGTCTTACCCCAAAATTCCTTGCCTTATGTTTCCCCATGTTTTCTCCTAGTAGTTTGATCACTTTTGGTCCCCTACTTAAGTCTTTAATCCATTCTGAATTGATTTTTTTAATATATAGTGAAAGATAAGGATCTCGCTTTATTCTCCTGCATGTGGATATCCAATTTTTTCAGTACAATTTATTGAAGAGACTGACTTTTCTCCATTGTGTATTCTTGACACTTTTGTTGAAAATCAGTTAGCTGTAAGTGCATAGATTTATTTATTCTTCTCTATTCTGTCCCACTGGTTTGTGTGTGTCTATTTTTATGCCAGTACCATGCTGTTTTGGTTACTATCATTTTGTAGTATAGTTTGAAATCAAATCATACGATGCCTCAAGATTTGGTATTTTTGCTCAAGATTGCTTTGGTTATTCAGGGCCTTTTATGGTTTCCTATAAATTTTAGGATTGTTTTTTCTATTTCTGTGAAGAACTGCTGACCTACCAAAATGTAATGTAACACATTTGTCTTTTATAAGCCACCAAACTTGCACTGATCTGTTATAGCAGCAATAGAAAACTAATATATCTACATAAGTTATTTATTTATCAAGGATTAAGTGTATGAGCATGTGTGTGTATGTGTGTTGTACATCATTCATATTCCAAACCAGGTATTTGGCTTCTATTGAACTATAAATAAAATCCATGCCCTGTCAACATCTAAATAGTTATACTATGGAATTATCTTTTTCTAATTTTTATGTCACAGAATGGGAGTTTTCTGGTTTTTCAAGCACTCTGTGTTGTCTATCAAACTTATGGCTTTACTGTATGAAAACAGCAACATAGAGTATCCGAGAAAGTACTGATTTCTGGAAAGTATTATCACTCTCAGATAAGAATGTTGCTTATATGGAAATTTTTCAGCATTGTCTAGACAGCTTTGGAATCTTTATAAATGTCAGATTACACCTTTCTGTCCCGTACTTTTTCCTAGTAGAAAAATGATGGGCTTTTTCACATAGCCAAAGCAATCCTAAGCAAAAAGAACAAAGGTGGAGGCATCACACTACTCAACTTCAAACTTTAAGGCCACTGTAACCAAACCATGGTATTGTCATGGGATCCTTGGGGTGTCTCTTCACCAGCCAGAAACCTCTGTGGCCAGTGGTGCCTTCTACCTGAGTATTGCTCACACCTGCTGGGCTCATTCTGCCCACTCAGCCTGGCTAGCTGCACTTGGCTCACACTACCAGCCCAGATTTCACACCTGCCAAGGGTGAGCCAGGCATGGACCAGTGAAGGGTGTGTGAGTGAGTGCAGGGTCCAGCCACTGCACACAGCCAGGCACGCTGGCAGCTCCAGGTGCCGGCACAGGTGCTAGCTCCACGCAAAGCTATGGCTGGACCAGATGCACTGCACGCAGCTTCTGCTGTGGGCACCCACAACTGGATGAGGGAAACGCAGTGGCACCTGAAAATTTGGAGATGCCAGGAACCACAGAGCCCAAAAGAGGGTGTCACAGCCCTGGCTCAGGGAGCCCCTAAGTCTGGGCTCCCCGAAGGTCTGCAGCTCTTCTGTCCTCATCACCCACAACATGGTGAGCATGGGGGTGTGTTTCAGCCCTGTTTGTGTTACAGCTCTTTCAGTTCCGCCATTCAGTGGGTCCAGAATTCCCGTCCTGCGTCCAGAAAGAATGAGGTACATAGACAACTGGAGGGTGAGCAAGGCAGAGAGGAGCTTCATTGAGCAACAGAACAGCTCTCAGGGGACCTGAAATAGGTAGCTCCTTTCCACAGGCAGGTCATCCTGATGTGTGTCCAGCTCTCAGCAGAGAAGAGATCCACAGTGGGCAGCTCCTTTTCGCAGGCAGGTCGTCGGAACATGTGGTGACTCGTAGTGTGTAACTCCTTTCCACAGCTGGTAATCCTGATGTCTGTGTGAGTCTGGCTGGGTTTTTTGTGGTCTCAGAAGGGAGGAAATGTATGCTGATTGGTCCATGGGCAGCCATGGACGGGCCTGCAAAAAGCACCATAAGTTCTCACTCCAGGCTGTGGACTCCACCTGAAACTGACAGTCCAGCCCCCGGTTTTCAGGCCATCCATGGCTTGAAGGTGGGGCTTCACTAGGGACCTGCCCCTTTCTGCCCAGGAGCCTGTCTGCCTCCTGCCACCATCAACATGTCATCCATGGCACCCAGGCAGTTCCTACTGAAGAGCACCTGAAGGCCTGTGCTGAGCTGCCCTCAGCCCCTATTGGCCTCCCTCCCATGCTCGTTGGCACCCAAAGTCCAGAGGAGGCCCAGGCAGCAGGGGGCTGGCCTGTCAGTGCCACCCCAAGTGCATGCACACCTGGCTGGGTTGCAACAACACCCAGGCTCAGCCACAACTGTGCTGCACCCTGGAGTGGGTGCTGGGAGTTGGGAGAGAATAGGCAATGGGAGCAGGCACTTGCCAGCCTGTGGGAGCAAGGAGCTTTCTGGGCCCCCAAGAGCACAGGGATGCCCAGCTGGGTGGCTGCAGCTGTAGGAGCATGGGGCTCCTGCCCAGCTGACTCAGTAGAGGCCAGGGCTGCCACCTGTTCTGGCCCCCACTGGCTCCATGCAGCATGCAGCCCCACTGTGCCTCCGCCACTGCAGCCAGTGTCTTCCCAGTGGTCACTCCATGGTTAGTATCCTATTTAAAGCTGTTGTTATCATCTTGCTAATACTATGTAAGTTTGTTACATCTTTGCAGAAATGTAGCCATTTCTAGATAATAAATTTCCAACAATATTTTTATTTACAATTTCTTCCTAAACTGTAGCCTCACTGCTTGCTATTATTCTTCTTGCCCCCTCTCTTTACTTTCTCCAAGTAGCCTATGCTTATATCAGTAAAAATATTGGAGTAAACATCTTTAAAAATTACCTCCTTGGTAAAAGCAATAAGAATATTGGCAAAAATTATCAAAACCAACTTTTTTAGAACTCTGAAAATTAACCAAATGCTTGAGGCACTAAAGGGATAATTTATTTAAGAAAAACTTTAATTTTGTTATGAACAGCAAGATTTGTGGCATTTTAACTTGTCCTATTCTCAGCCTTCTCCCAGCTCCACAGTAGCCTTAAAAATCAACAGCTCATAATTACAGTGAAAATCTGCAGTGTGTCGACTCTTGAAAAAGTAAATGGAGATGGACCTCTTCAAAGACATGATGCAAAAAGTTGTTATTATTTGACCTCTCTGGTGGTTCTCTGGAAGACTCACTCACAAGGCTGTCTTTGTTTGATCTTACCCAGCCTAATCACTGGAAACAGCCTTTCCCCTAGGACATTTGTTGAAAACAATCAGAGACAATTGCTGAACATGCTGGTTGTCCACAGTGATAGAAAACAGTTGGGGCAAATGATAGGCTAACCTGTAAACTTAAAAGGAGAAGCTTGGAAATTAGATATCCATAGTTGGCTTTGAAAAGCTCTGCCATGTCACTGGGAATGTAGAAGGCCACATATATGCATAGTGCTATGTGTCTGCCCAGGGCCAACCTGAGAAGGCCCTAAGATTTACTACTGGCTAACATGAGGCTCTGTGCAAGTAGGTAATGAAAGCTATTGCAGAGTTGGTAAGTGCCTGACTGAGTGGTGAAGGCATGCCCCACCACACACAGAATTCCTCAACAAAGACTGGGAGACTTATTGGTTTCAAGAATTTAAGGAAGTATTTGTCCAATCACTAGCTGACCCCTAAGATAACCAAGCAGAGTCTTCAGTGTTCACACATAATAAAGAGTACAGTATTTACAGAATTAGTTCAGAAAAGTCACTAAACAAACAATGAAAACAAACAGCAACAACAAAATGTTTTGGGGGAGGGAGATATCTGATTTTCAGATTGGTCACATTATATTATTTAAAATCTAGTTTTCAACCAAAAATTATGAGACATATAAAGCAATAAGGGGGAATAGCCCATCCACAGGGGAGAAAAAGCAGTTTATAAAAATTGCCTTAAGGAAGTTCAGATGTTCAGCTTACTGGGGAATCTCTTTAAATAATATATTTTAAATATGTAAAAGAACTAAGGAATACTATGTTTTAAGAAGTAAAAGAAAACATGGAGACAGTGTCTCACCAAATAGAAAATATCAATAAGGATATAGAAATGATTAAAAAAAAACAGAAAGAGACAAAGAGAGACTTGGAGTTGACAAGTACAATGACTAAAATACAAAATTTACTAGAGGGGTTGAAGAGCAGACTTGAGGAGGTAGAAGAGTCAGGTAATTTGAATGTAAAAAAATTGAAATTACCCAGTCTGAAAAACAGAAAGAAAAAAGAATGAAGAGGCCAGGCGTGGTGGCTACACCTGTAATCCCAGCACTTTGGGAGGCCAAGGCAGGTGGATCATCAGGTCAGGAGTTCGAGACCAGCCTGACTAACATGGTGAAACCCCGTCTCTACTAAAAATACAAAAAAATTAGCCAGGCATGGTGGCATGCACCTGTAATCCCAGCTAATCCCAGCTACTCAGGAGGCTGAAGCAGGAGAATCACTTGAATCTGGGAGGCAGAGGTTGCAGTGAGCCAGGAGTGCACCACTGTACTCCAGCCTGGGCAACAGAGCCAGACTCCATCTCAAAAAAAAAAAGAATGAAGAAATATAAATAGAGCTGCAGTGACCTCTAGGATAACATCATGCATGAAGCATACACATAATATCCCAGGAGAGGAGAGAAAAAAATGGGGCAGAAAGAATATTTGAAGAAGGAATGAATAAAAACTATCCAAACTTTAAGAAAAACATAAATTTACACTTTCATAGAGACTAATGAACTCCAAGTAGGATAATCTCAAAGAAAGCCACACCTAAACAGATTATAATTAACCCATTGTAAGCTAGAAAGACAGAGAGACTCTTGAAAGCAACAAAATAGGAAAGCAATTCATCATACACAGGCATCCTCAACAAGATAGAGCTGATTTCTCATTGGAAACTGTAGAAGCCAGGAGGCAGTGTGATGATATACTTAACGTGCTGAGAGAAAAACTATTAGTGAAGAACTGTATATCTTGTAAAACTGTCTTTCAAAAATGAAGGAGTAATTCAAATATTCCAAAATAAAGAAAAACTAGGATAACTTGCTGCTAGCAGACCTAGCCTAAAATAAATACTAAAGGAAGTCCTTCAGGCTCAAATGGAAGGACATATATAGTAATTTGAATCCACATGAAGAAATAAAGAGGACTAGTAAGGAAAACACACAAATATAAAAGCTGGTATAAATTTTTTTAATGTAACTTTTTTCTTCTGTCTGATATAAAGCAATAATTGCTACCTTTGTTGATAGATACAAAATACACAAACATATAATTTGTAAGATAATAGTACCAAGGAAAAGAGAGGAAATTGAGCTCTATAGAAGCAAAGTTTTTATTAATATATCCTGTTGTAATTCAGTTGGTATTAATCCAAGCTAGACTGTCCTAAATTAAGATGTTAATTATAATCCCTGGGCTAAGAAAGTAGTTAAAAACCATATAGTAAAAGAAATAACAATGGAATTTAAAATGGTACACTTGTAAATGTCTATTTAATACAAAAGAAGGCAGCAATGGAGGAATAGAACAACAAAAAAGGTCTAAGGCATATAAAAACATCAAAAAATGGAAGACATAAAGCCCACCTTATCAGTAATTATATTAAATACAAATGGATTTAACACTCCAAATAAAAGGTAGAGATTGGCAGAATGCGTTTTTAAAATAACATGATCCAACTATATGCTGGCTACAAGAGACACTTTAGATTAAAAAATGTAAGTAGATTGGAGGTAAAAGGATGCCAAAATACACTATACCAACCGTCACCAAAAGAGACTTGGAGTGGCTAGACTAATATCAGACAAAAGATACTTTAAGATATAAGATAAAACTTTTTACTAGGGACAAAAAGGACATTTTACAATGTTAAAAGGATTGATTTATCGAGAAGATATAACAATTAAAACATATTCACCTAACAACAGAGCCCAAGAATACACAAAATTTAAAATGACACAATTGAAGGGAGAAACAGACAATTCACTGGTAATTGTTGGATGTTTCAGTCTTCTGTTTTCAATATTGGATATAACTAGACAGAAGATTCACAAGGAAATGGAAAACTTGAACATTATGAACCAACCAGATGTAGCAGACATCTATAGCACACTCACCCCAACAACAAAATACACGTTATTTTCAAGTGTGCATGGAACATTCTCTAGCATAGACCATACATTAAGCCATACAACAGTCTCAATAAATGTAAAAGGATTGAAATCACACAAAATGTGTTCTCCAACTACAATGAAATGAAATTAGAAACTGATAATACAGGGAAAATTGAAAAATTAAAATATGTGGAAATTTTACAACACATCCCTAAGTAATCAAGGGTTCCACCTGGTACGCATGGGATTGGTCAGTGCTAGTCATGTCGATGATTATCAGTGATGAGCCTGAAGGCTAGAGCCAGTGTTAGGCAGGGCCTAGGAAATGCTGCTGTGTTCAATTTTCAAATATTTCTTAGATCTGTTTTTGTAAACAAACAAACAAACCTTTAATGGTGTCCCAAATAAGGTCTCAATCCCATTATAATCCAACCTCTGAATCTATTGGTCCATTACTCATTACTACCTAACTCAACTGCCCAGCCGGGCGGATCCCTCAAAGTCTCATAATGCAGAATGTGCCTTCCCATCCTCTGTGCCTTGGCTATGCTTTTCTTTTTTTTATTATTTTTTATTTTTTCATTTTGAGTGCCTGCTCTCATTTATCTCTGTTATCAAAACAATATGATATCATATGCATGTAATGTTTTATAAACTATAAAATAATATATAAATATGAACTATATTTACTGGAATCCACACCCTGCAAGAACTAGTTTTTGTCCCCCTCCTTCCAGGAAAACTTACTAAACCCCTATAGCCTTCAGTGATTGACTTTTTCTTTTCTATGTTTTCTGCCTGCTTATCTTCCTTCAACCATTCTGAATTTTGTGTTAATCATTTCTTGTTTTTGTCACAGTATTTATTATAAACTGTTTTATTTTGCCTGTTTTTTAACTTCACATAAAAGCAGTCATAACATATTCATGCTTCTGTACTTTTTTCTTTCTTCTTTTCACCAGGGGTCTGTTAGTTAATTTCAGTAGGTATTATACACATGCTGCAAAAAAATCAAAACAATACAAAACAATACACAATAGACTAAAAATCCCTGCTTCCTCCCCTATTGCTGCCACTCTATGGACCCCTCCATCTTCTCCCCATAGATAATCACTCATTAATTTATTTTGAATCTTTCCAATATGAGCAAATACAATTATATTTTTATGTTTCTAGATTTTTGATTTTTAAAAATAAACATCTTGGCTGGGCGCGGTGGCTTACGCTTGTAATCCCAGCACTTTGAGAGGCCGAGGTGGGCAGATTATGAAGTCAGGAGTTTGAGACCAGCCTGGCCAACACAATGAAACCCCGTCTCTACTAAAAATGCAAAAATTAGCTGTGTGTGGTGGCGAGCACCTGTAATTCCAGCTACTCAGGAGGCTGAGGCAGGAGAATCACTTGAACCCAGGAAACAGAGGTTGCAGTAAGCCGAGATCACGCCATTGCACTCCAGCCTGGGCGACACAGCGAACTCTGTCTCAAAAAAAAAAAAAACAAACATCTTATCACATATAGATCTTTCCACATCCTTAACACAAAGCATTTTCTCATTCTTTTTTATAACTACATAATATTCCATAATGTACATCTACTATGGTTTCTATACCAGTCCTCTATTAATGGACATGACTATTCTCTAACATTTTACTAATACAATGTGCAGATCATAACATATGTCATCTCTTATGTGTGCATGTATTTCTGTAGGATAAATCCCTGTGAGTGGGACTCCTGGGTCAAAGGTGAGATACATTTGTAATGTGATAGATATTGCCAAATTATACTTCATAAAGAATATACTATTTGTACTCATACCAATGATATATGGGTGCCTCTTTCCCTTCAGCATCACTAAACTTAATTTTTGCTAATTTAATAACTGAAAAAATGCATCTGATTGTGGTTTAATTTAAATTCTCTTATTATGAAAGAAGTTGGGTATTTTTTTCTTATGTTTATAATAATTTATTTGACTTTTCTGTGAACTGGTTTTTCTGTCCTTTGCACATTTTTCTCTTAGATTATTGATACTTTAAAAAATAAATTCCCAGCATATTAATTCTGAATATTATTTTCCCCTCTGGTTTGCCATTTGTCTTCTGACAAATGGCAGATGGTTTTGTCACAAAAAAGATTGTTTAATGTAATCAGTTTTGTCAGTTTTAAAACAGCTTCTGCATTTTGAATCAAAGTTAGAAAGGACTCTCCTAACATAATTTTATAAAGAAGTTCTCTTCTGTTCTCTTTTCTGGTACTTAATAATTTCATTTAAACCTTTGAGTTTATATTGCTTTATGGTATAATAAATACATCTGTGTCTTTTCTAAGTGGAGTTGCCTGATTGCCCCAAACCAATATTGTATATAAGGTTCAATGTCAATGCATATAACTGTAGTTAATTCATTTTAAATGTTGAATTCCAAAGTGCGAATATAAATAATGTCTTTATCTTCTCCACTGATAATGAGCATTTCGATTGCTTCCAGTGTTTTGCTATTATGAATAGATCTGCTGTAAACATACTTATACATGTCTTATTTTTTAAGTCTACAGCACTTACTGTCTATCACTTATACCTCACATTAATTGAATAACTGAATTGCTATTTAACTGTTTCCTACCATTTACTCATTCTTTTTTTTACTAGAATTTAATGAAAGGTCATCTTACATCTTTGGACTATGTGCCATATTGACTAGGAGAGGAATAAGCTCTCAGTGGGAAATGAATTGAATTGAGGTGAATTAACTTGAATAGAATTAGTAGCCTGCTGTGGGCAGAGAAATGTAATATAAAATTAACTATTTCCTAATAATTCACCAAAACCAGAAAAAATGGGATGAAGTAAATTGTGCACATATTTTGACCATATTATTTTTTAAGATTACAGAGAGATTAAATCTTAACCAGTACCAAAGAAACCAATTAATTAATTCATCTGCCTTTGATACCTATAATTTCTCATGTGCATAGGAACACTGATGCAGTTTCTGTGATCTATCAAAAGCAGATGAAATATGGTGGAAAATTTGTTGCACAATTTACTTTTCACCGATCCAAAAAGAACATGTTGCCCTTATTTGGCATATTTTTCACATCGTTATTTTGACTAATCTATTTGTTCAAATGATAGGCGTCTTGAAGTTACTACATCCTCTTACGGTAGAAGCAAATGTTATGTCTTTCAGAATGCATTCCAGGCTAGGTTTTTATCCAGGGATTAAAAGCCTGAGTTTTAAGTGAACAAAATCTACATGTCTTTCAGAACTATAATTGATTTTCCTCCTTACCCGGCTATCACAGCAAGTGCTATACTAAAATAGTCACCAATAGACTTGTGCTATCCCTTTTTAGGGATGATTCAACTTATGAAAAATAAATGAGTAGCTTTTGTTCACACTGAGGCTTACCAGAGACTCATATTTATATTACAGTTAAGAGGCAATCTGACAATGACAACATTTCCATTAACCATAACACACTGAGCTCTCAGGAAATGGTATACCCAAGGGAAAGCAGTTTTAAAAATGAGATCTTGTGTAAATGTTTGGAGTAAGAAAATGTATTAAATGATAATTTAATAGAAGAATTTTTTATTATTAAGTAAAATTACTTAGTAGTAATAACCCATTAAGACAACATATTGTGTTGTAATTTATACAGAATTTGTTTAAATTTGCATGGTGCTTTGATCACAGAACATTTCCCCTGCTATTTTGATTACTGTGTAACACTTTGAAAAGCCCTTACTGCTTATTCCTAAAAGGTATCATTCTAATCATTCTACCTAGGGAGCGTGCTGCCATAGAGAATCATTCCACAAATACCACTCGGTACTCACTGTGTTTGCCCACAAGGAATTATTTGTTTTAAAAATGATGTGAAATTCTCCATTCTGAGACACATAGGAATTCCTAGCCAATTACCTCAATAAACTCCAATGCTATGATGCCTCACATTTCTATTTTACAATCCCATCTTTTATTCACATTTTCTGGGTTTGCTGAGGAAAAGAGTAGGCATATGTCTAACATTATTGTTAATACTTAACATTCACTCATGAGAAAAACAATCTATATCTTTCCTTTCTGCTTTTTACATCATTTCTAAATTTATTCAACAATTTAAAAGGGATTATTCTCCGCTTTGGATTTCTGCTTAAAATAAATCTTACTGTAATTTGGTGGA
This sequence comes from Homo sapiens, assembly GCF_000001405.40. NCBI lineage: Eukaryota > Metazoa > Chordata > Mammalia > Primates > Hominidae > Homo > Homo sapiens. Next base: position 116,194,635 of record NC_000007.14, read on the forward strand.
ATAGTATGGAGTTTTTTTCAATCAAAAAAAATATTTCTAGAGTAGAAAATGAGTATTTTGTACCAGTATTTGCCTTAAGATTATAAAGGGCAGCAGCGGATAATGATACCTCATGACTCTTTAGTTTAATGAGAAGAGAAAACTCAGTTGATCACAGATCATTCCCAGGGTTTTTCAAAACTCAATTTGTAAAGACGAGGCCTCTTTTGTCTGGTTATGGAAGATGTGACCTGGAACTCTCTGTAGCTATGTTCCCCATGACATGGAAAAACTCTTCTAAGAGAATGAATCTGGAGTGCTGCAAGAAACAGAGAAAGAGAGTATTCTAATGGTGTTCAAATCTCTTTTTAGTGATCCTTAAAGGTAGTTCCAACCACCCTTCTCTCACTGTTACATAAAGCCAATAAAACCCCAACTGGCTTAAACTAGTTCGAATTATGTGCCTGTCATATGCAACTAGATAACAGCAAGACATTTAGGCATTATACCTAAAAGTGGGGTTTTACAAAGTAAAGACCATAAAATGTAGTTCTGTTTGAGGTGGGAGACCATGAGGAGATAGCAATCCTTTGAAAATGATATCAAGGGAGTTGGTTAAATCTGTTTCCAGTTTTCTGTTAGGACATAGGCCATATACACAAAAGCTGTTACTTAAGAGGATTTCATAGCAAATGTCAGGGTATTGGAGGGTGTTGGCGAATTCTTGCCACCTTCAATAAATTACAGGAAAGAAACAAGCTAGGATCTTTTTTCTGATTTATCAGACAGAATAAAAAGTCCATTAGTATGGATCAGCAATTTTTTAAGAGAAACTCTGGCTGTGGCCAGAAATACAAGTTAGCAAAAGTCAAAAAATCATGGGTCCTACTGAGGTACAAAAACTGAACATGTTGTCCTATATCAACCAGAGTGTATTAGCTTGGAGTAGTGTTTTTCAGGAGTCAGAGTAATGGGGGAGGTTTAATCTCCCATGATTCATCAAGTTACAGTCATGCATCTCTTAACAACAGGGATATTTTGAGAAATGTATTGTTAGGTGATTTCATCTTTGTGTGAACATCATAGAGTGTACTTACACAAACCCAAATGAGATAGCCACTGCACGCCTAGGCAATATGGCAGAGCCTATTGTTCCTAGGCTACTAACCAGTACAGCATGTTACTGTAATGAATACTGTAGGCAATTGTGACATGATGGTATTTGTGTATCTAAACATATCTCAACATAGAAAAGGTACAGTAAAATATATATATAAAAGATTTAAAATGGTATGTCTGTGTAGGGCACTTACTATGAATGGAGCTTGCAGGACTGGAAGTTGCTCTGGGTGAGTGAGTGAGTGAGTGAGTAGTGAATGAAGATGAGGGCCTAGGACAATACTGCACACCACTGTAGACTTTATAAACACTGTACACTTAGGCTACAATAAATTTAAAGTAGCTTTATTTCTTCAATAATAAATTAGCCTTGGCTTACTGTGACTTTTTTACTTCATACATTTTTTAAACTTTTAAAGATACTTTTTAACTCTTTCGTAATAGCACTTAGCTTAAAACGCAAATACATTGTGCAGCTGTACAAAAATATTTTCTTTCTTATATCTTGATTCTATAAGCTTTTTGGATTTCTTCTTTTTTTTTTTACTTTTTGACCCTTTTTAATTAAAATCTAAGATGCAAACACACACATTAGCCTAGGCATTCACAGGGTCAATTTCATCAATATCACCATCTTCCTTCTCCACATCTTGTCCCACTGGAAGGTTTTCAGAGGCAATAACATGCATGGAGTTCTATCTCCTGTGATAGCAATGCCTTCCTCTGGAATACCTCCTGAAGCACCTGCCTGAGGTTGTTTTACAGTTAACTTTTTCCATAAGTAGGAGTACACACCAAAATAATAAATTGTTAGTATTATAAATACCTAAACCAGTAACATAGTTATTATCATTGTCAAGTATTATATACTGTGCATAATTATATTGCTATAATTTTATATAACTGGCCACACAATGGGTGTGTTTTGGCAGCATAACTACAAACACATGAATTATGTGTTGTACTATAACATTCTAATGGCTACAGTGTCACCTGGCTGTACGAATTTTTAGTTCCATTACAGTCTTACGGGACCACCACCTTATGTGCGGTCATTGACTGAAACATCATCATTTGGTGCATGAATGTGTCTTCTATGCACTTCCTGCCTAAATCCTCTAAAACTCTGATTTCAAAGCACAGAAACCTGGAATCAATCCCCATACAAGATAAAACTTTCTATTATCTCTGACTATCTAAGACAGTGACCTCAATTTAAACAGGCCTTTAAATTGAGGATAGAAGAAATAGACGGAGACTTAAACCTGTTGCTGAGAGATTTAAAACTAGGGTTACAGGCTAGATACAAATATTTTACTCGGTAAGTGTAGCAGATTGTGTCTTCTAAAGTTAGACACAAAAATATTTTCCATACCATATTCTTACTATGTAATACGGATACTCTAACTATTGCATAATATGGTCTATGTCCCCTGAATCCTGAATGGACCTTTATGACTGCCTCAACCAAGAGAGTTTAGTGAAAGCAATACCACAGGACTTATGAGGCTAGTTCAGAAAAATGCCATATACTTCCAGCCTGCTCTCCTGGAATATGCAGTCCTGGAACCCAGCTATCAGACTGTGAGCAACTGGCCCATATAGAAAAAACACATGCTGAGGCCATGTAGAGAGACTCTCACTGATAGTCCTAGTCAACAGCCAGTATCAACCAGATATATAAAGACAACTCTAGATGATTCTGGCCCCCAGCTAGATGACTGAGTCATCACCAGCCTTCAACACTTCCAGCTGAAGCCCCATACACCATGGAAAAAGGCGGTCTTACTGTGCTCTGTTCTAATTCCTGGCCCATACAATTTCTAAGCCTACTAAAATGGCTGTGTTACGCCACTAACATTGGAATGGTTTGTCACAAAGCAATAAATACTACAACAGCTTTTGGGTACTAGTAGTGGAGTGCTGCCAAAAAGAAAATCTGAAGCATGTGGCATTGGTTATAGGCAGAAGAGAGCAGAAACTCAAAGTGCCTTGCGATACTATTTGAAAGTTTATCAAGCTTGTCCAACCCACAGCCCGTGGGCCACATGCAGCCCAGGACAGCTTTGAATGCAGCCCAACACAAATTTGTAAACTTTCTTAAAACATTATGACTTTTTTTTTGCTTTTTTTTTTTAAGTTTTGGCTCTTCAACTATCATTAGTGTTAGTGTGTTTTATGTGTGGCCCAAGACGATTCTTCTTCTTCCTAAGTGGCCCAGGGAAGCCAAAAGATTGGTCACCCCTGCCTCTTAAATTGTTTCTAAGCGACAGTTAGCTAAAGCTAAAAGGCCTGAAGGAGGCTGTCAATGAGGGTTTAACAGAAAGGTATGGTGAATGTTACTAGGAACTGGAGGAAGGGAAGCAATTGCTATGTACTGGCAGAAAGTTTGCCAAGATTGTTTTCTGCGATAACGTAGAAAATAGAAAATGTACCTAAAATTTGATGATTGCAGAATATTAAAAGGGCACCTATGATAAAATGTGAGAGGAGAGAAGAACTAAAGAATGCAATATTAGACAAAAAAGACTGTCAATTCCTGGGTTCTAAAGTAAACCTGTGTCTCATACCCAGGATTTCCATATGGAAAATAATTTTTTTAAATTAAGAAATGACTTCTGGGCAAAGATCAAGTCCAGGATGGTGATTAAGAGTCTTTGTGAAGACTTCAGAAACACATAACATAGTGACTGATATATAACCTTTCAGAGAGACAGAAGGCCCCCTAGGTATCTTAGAGTGCACCACATAGATATTACACATTAAAAAGAAAAGATTTATAAGAATAATAAATGTGTTATCCAATGAAAGTTTCACAGTTTGAGCTCAAGATAGGGAAAGAATAATCTCAAAGATATTTGTAGGTGTAGCTTTGACCTAATAGAATGTATTATATGTTGATACATAAGAAACTCACAAGATTTCTTTAAGTAATTGTAACAGCACAGACTCAACAGACAGAGTCAGTACAGCTCCATCGAACAGGCAGTTCCTTTGAATTCCCAAGTTTGCAAGCTGGAAGCTGGTTAAAAGAATGACTTAGGTGCAAACATGGAGTATTTTTGGTGGAAAAAGAAGATGATTGACTTGGAAACCGGAATGAATAGCCCAGAAGGTGAAAGCAAGATCCATGAAAAACAATCTTTAAAGAGCAAGAATAAGCCCTAGTCAAGAAAGTGACAACACATCCCTGGCTGGATTTCGGAACTGCTGTGGAACAGTGACTGTTACGTGCTTCCTGTTTTACCAGTATCTGAAGGGATTTTGTATAGCAGATATTCTAGGACTATCTCAATATATGCTGAGCGTGTGTGAAGAACAGATAACTTGTCCCTTTAGTTCAGAGCTTTTCAGATCAAGAGGAATAGTACTCAAGCAGCTATACTAATTAACCACACCTGAGGAGCATCGTCCACACCTAGACTTGATTCAGATGACAAGTACCAGACTAAGCTGTGGAGACTTGAAGATCTTAAAGGATGAAATCATTCTATTAGGCAGATGGAAAGAATGTGAGCTTTCATGTCCACAGGGCAAATGGCAAAACATTATATTTTCTGAAGATTGCAAGTATACCTCCCATTCCACATACTCTTCTTAAATAACAAATACTACATGACTTTGAAAGCCAGTTCATAAAAATTTCATGGACTCCACTTTACTCTTTTGGAACATTTTCTTTTGAAACCCAGTCACCGTTCATAAAGACACCAAAGCAACTCATAGAAGCCTAGCTGGAGAGGAACTGATGCCCCAGGTGACAGCCAGCACTAACTTGCCAATGAATTGTCCCATTTGGGCTATCTCAGCTGATGTTGTATTCAGCAGAGAAAAGATATCCTTACCTTTCCTGCCCAAACTGCAGATTTTTGAGCAAAATTAATGATTAGGGTTTTTTTTTTAATCAACTAACTTTTGAGGTATTTTTTTTTAACACAACAACAGATGATCCATTTCTGGTATCATGTATAGCAGTGGTTCTCAACTGAGGATGGGTTTGCTCTCCAGAAGACATTTGGCAATGTCTGGAGGTATTTTTGGTTGTCATAACTGGAGTGGGATGCTAGTGGCCTTTAGTGAGTCGAGGCCCAGAATGCTATTATACATTCTGCAATACACAGGAGAGCTCCCTACAACAAAGATTATCTGATCCAAATTATCATTAGTATCATGGCTGAGGAATACTTATTTAAAGGTTCCCTTGAAATAAAAATGACAGTCAAATGTTAAGTAAATCCCAAGCCTGGCAAAAGTAGCCTATATCTCGTTGTATTATGGCATCCCCCAAATCCCAAATACCCAAAGGACAGGACAGGATAGGACAGTTGTTGGGATAGGACTACTCTCCAGAACAAAAATTTCAAACAATGCCTCTCTGGAAGGTCATCACAGGGGACAATGGATAAGGAAGGGCATCTCGGTAGTAAGAATTCAGTGCATACACAATGGAAGACCAAGAACCTAACTCCACCCTTAGGAAAGTTAGCTCTTATGTTCTCAGTTCTGCATGATATAATATTTGCTATGAAACAGTTTGGAACAGAACAGATTGCTTTTGTTTTTTACCAAGAAGTTTTACTGTTGCTACCTTGCTTTCGTTTCCCCAAACAGAAGTGGGTTAAATAATGTTTATTTGTAGTGGGTTAAATAATGTTCCCCCAAAATTCATATATGCCCAGAACTTCAGAATGCGACTTTATTTGCAAATAGGATCTTTGCAGATATAATTAGTTAAGAGGTCATATTGAACTAGGGTGAGCCCTAAATCCAATGACTAGCATTTTTATAAGAGAAAGGAGAGGGAGATTCAGACACAGACAAACATAAAGAGAAGATGGTCATGTGAAGAACAAGGCAAAATTGGAGTATTGCAGCTACCCTAGTTGAGAACCACTGCTTTGCATGATGCCAGAAATGGATTGTCTGTTGTTGTATAACAAAATACCTCAAAACTTAGTAGATTTAAACAACCCAAACTATTAATTTTGCTCGTAAATCTGCAGTTTAGGCAGGAAAGACAGCAAGGATACCTTGCCTCTGCTGCATACATCAGCTGAAATGGCCCAGCTGGGGCACTTCCTTGGCAAGTTGGTGCGGGCTGTCAGCTGGGGCATCAGTTCCTCTCTAGCTAGGCTTCTAGACTGGGTTTCAAAAGAAAATGTCCAAGCAGGAAAGTGGGTGACTGGGTTTCAAAAGAAAATGTCCAATCAGGAAAGGCAAGCCAAGGAATGCCAAGGATTGCCAGCAAACACTAGAAGCTAGGAAGAGGCAAAGAGAATTCTTTCCTAGAACCCTCAGAGGGAGCATGGCCCTTCTGATACCTTGATTTCAGACTTCCAGCTTCCTGAGCCATGAGATAATAAATTTCTGTTATTTTAAGCCATCCAGTTTGTAGTAATTTGTTATGGCAGCCCTTGTAACTTGATACACCCACTTTACATTGTTTAAGTTGGCTGTTGGTTATGTTTATCATTTAGCTCATTTGAACAGAATCATGATAAACCACGTATAGACCTGATTGAGACTAATTTGTATCATCCAGATATCCTAGATTTAGAGTTAGATGCAATTGTTATATTTGAGCTGGGAAGAGTTAAATTTGTGTTTATACATGAAACAGATGTATTTTGGCAAAGCTGGGGGGGTATGAATGAAAAAAAGGCATGTTGGTGTATCAAGAACACAAGGAATAGATGTAACTGGGAATTATTATTTTCTGTTTAGAACAGAGATGCCCCATTAGCTTTCTGGGATTCCTTATTCTGTGAAGTTTGGTGAGTACACAAGAAACCTTGTCTATTTGCTCCATCTCAATCATAAGCCCCTCCTGTCCCCATTAGTAACCATTTTCCTTATTTTTTAAATGCCAATTACTTCCTGCATTTTTAAAGAATTTCATTATTCAAACTCGTATCCCTAGACACTATGGTTTAATTTTATCCTCGCCTATTTTTAAATAATTGATATGTCTTTTTAAGTCTCCTAATCTATAGGTACTCCTTTCATCCCTTTCTTTTCCTTAGAATTTTATATTGAAGAACCAAGATCATTTGATCTGTAGAGTTTCCTGCAGTCTGGATTTTGCTGATTTGGTGTTCTTGGAGTAGTTCAATATGTTCTTCTGTCCATGGCATTTCCTGCCAATTGGCAGCTGGATACAAAGATTGGACCAGATTCAGGTGTTACCCCTTTGGTAGCCCTATGGGAGGTGTTTGACACGTAATGTCAGATTGTGTCTCGTTTTATGATGGCAGCAGTCAGCGATACTGATTTTACTCATTGTTTTGAAATGGTGATATTCTAATTCTATCATTTTTAATGTATTAGTTGGAATACTTCTATAAAGAGACACATTCTAATATTTGGTTATCCAGTGGTACAGTTCATATTGAAAAGATACAATAAATCCTTGATTCTTTCTCTTTACTTACTAATTCTTTAGATTGTTAAATGCTTCCCTATTATTCTCCAAAGATGGCTCGTTTTAAAAATATTATTATGAATTTATAGATATTTGATGGGTTTTAGTTTACTGTAATTGTTATTATTATTGAAGCTCAAGTTGACCAATTTTTGGCCAGCAAGAGACTCTTCAAGCTGGCTTCTAACTTCTTTTGACATGAACCCAGTAGTTTTTCATACCCTCCTTGCTCTCTTCTATGACAACATGTTTCAGGCTTAACTTACACATTTTCTGCTTTAGAGCTGGAATCAGTAATTTTTCCATGAAGTTCTAGGTTCCTTTTAGTGATAAATTTTATTTCAAGATCACAATCTGGGTTCTAGAGATACTCTTTGCTACTAAGTTAGTCATTGTAGCCCTTCTCTGTGGAAAGAGCTAGTAAAGAGAGAGAAAGTCAAATTCAAAACTATTATAGTTTTAGGAATTTAGATTAACTTCTTTCTTCTACACCTCAAATCCTGGTTGTCAAGATGACAGGGGATGATAAAATTAGACTATCCCCTGATTACTCATTTGTCTTACTTCCTATTATATGCATAGCAGCAGATTACTAATGCTAATATTACCACCAATATGAATATTGAAAGTCTGTTAAAATTTGTATATGCTTTCCTCTCATTTTATTTTTATTATATCTACATTGTCAGATCATATGGTTAATATACATTACACTCTCTCCTTGTTCCTCATTTAGTTTTTGTTCTATAAGAGTTGTCTATATAGTTAACACTCACCTCCTTATTCCAATATCTCTCCAGTAACTTTGGTTGTCTGAAGCTCATTCTCTATAGATTCCTCATAAAGGGCTGATGGGACCAATATTTCTTGAGTTCTCGTATGTTGATAAAAGTTTGTCTGTGTCCTTTACACTTGAAAGTCACTTCAAATAAAATCCTTGGCTCACAGTATCTTTCCTAAATATCTTGTTTGTCCATTTTTTTCTGACCTAAAGGGATTACTATGTCAGATGATAATATAATTTTCTTTCTAAGTTATATACACTTTAAAAAATCTAAATACCCAAAGGATTTTTCCCCCCATTCTTCAAAGTCCAGTAATTTTACTAGATTATGCTTTGGTGTTGATTTTTCTGAGTTGATAGTGTCAGGTATGTAGAGCAATCTTTCAATATCTAGTTTTAAATCTTTTTTTAATTCAAGAAATACTTCTTTAATTATAGCTCTTAGTATTTGTTTTTTTCCTTTGGTTTGGTTTTCTTCTTCAGGGATTCCTATCATCCTTGTGTTTCATCTTTTTAGTCTATTTTCAATACTTGTTACTTTCTCTAGACTGTATCTTTTTTAAATATTCTTCTTCTGTTTTGCCTTGTATTGGTCTTAGCCATTATCAGTTTTTTGCTCTTTTATTCTTTTACTTTAGTCTTCATTTTGTTAATATTGTTTTCTTCATTTCTAATTTTTTCCTAAGTTCTCTCAACTCACTTCTTAGTTTTTCTAATTCTGATTTGTGTGATCCTTTACATATATTATCTTGTTAATGCCTTTTAGCTTGTTCTAAAATAATAGCCTATAGTTTTGTTTTGTGGACACATTTTTCTGATGCTCTTTCACTATCTGTAGTGATGTTATGCTGCTCCTTTTTTCTCTTTTTTTGTTATGACAACTTTTATGGAATTTGATCTTGATAATTTGCTGTTGCTCATTTTCATGTGGTATTAGTTTTCCTGAACTTTTATAATAATGCAAGGTTCAGAAAATCTTGCCCAACTTAGCTCCATCTTTCTTTGTTTTTATTTTATTTATTTATTTATTTATTTAATTTTTTTGAGACGGAGTTTTGCTCTTGTTGTTCGGGCTGGAGTATAATGGTGTGATTTTGGCTCACTGCAATCTCTGCCTCCTGGGTTCAAACGATTCTCCTGTCTCAGCCTTTTGAGTAGCTGGGATTACAGGCATGCACCACCACGCCTGGCTAATTTTGTATTTTGAGTAGAGACAGGGTTTCACCGCGTTGGTCAGGCTGGTCTTGAACTCCTGACCTCAGGTTATCCTCCCGCCTCGGCCTCCCAAAGTGTTCGGATTACAGGCGTGAGCCACCACACCTGGCCTCCTTGTTTTTATAAAGTGCTAAAAATAAAAATAAATAAAAAATACAGCAGTACTTTTGAGATTTCCTGATACTGCTCCCCTCTCTGGCTGTTGAACATTTGAAGCATGGCCAGTGTGACTGAGAAGCCAAATTTTAAATTTTAATTAATTTTAACTAATTAAAACTTAAATAAAATTAATTAAAATTGAAATAACCACGTGCAGTTAGTGGCTACCAAATTGGATGGTGCCCTTCTAGACTTATTTCCATTGCCTCTACTGCCCCATCCTGCTCAACTTTGATTTCTCTCTAAGCAACTTCTGATTGTGGAAACTTGTCCTAGAAGAGAGTCCTGGAGGGTCAGCTTTGACATAGCACAAGGGCTAGATGGCTTCATTCCCTCCCTTTGATCCTTTTTACTTTTCCAGCTGCTATTATAAAATTGGCCTGAAACGCTTTACAATAAATAACTGGAGGAGAGCATTCTAGTTCTTCCATCCATCAGACACCATTCCATTATTTTCTTCCCTCCTCAAAACATAATCTTTTATGCATATATGTCTTGTGGCTTTCGGTGGTTTGCCCTCACCTCTTGTGTTCTGGGGTTTATGAAGGTACCTTATTACCAAGTTTTATTGTAAAGTTTATCCCTGGGCATTTGGTTTTGCTAATTAGTGGATCTGGTTTTTGTTTGTTTGTTTATTTCTTAATGTAGATTTTTGTAGAGATTGAAAATTACACAGACACTCCTCTGTCCCCCTAAAATGCTTGAAATAATGTATTTTTAAATAAGGTTTTTCCATTTAAAATAGTCATACTAATCATGGAATATTTTTAAAAGGAGGAAAGAAATCCCCATGGACCCACCAATCAAAGGCAAACTGCGGGTGACATTTTAGTGTATTTCCCTCATGTTCTTTTTCTATTCATGGTATTTTTGTATAGCTGTGAGCATACTGTATATACAATTCCATATTATATTCTGTTCTTATAACATTATAATTGTTTTCCATTACAAACATTCCTAAGTATCATTGATCAGTAACTATGCTAAATCTGTCATGTGGCTCATCCATTATTTACTTAGTCAATCCCCAATTTTTGGTCAATTAAAAAAGTTATGGGATATTAGTTTGCTCTAAGCTACATTGGCACCTATTTTCTTTAAAAAATATCCCTAGAGAACAACCTGTAATCTTATACAACCTGCTAATGAGGAATAATAGCTGTGTCAGGCTCACAAAGGAGTTCCTATGACAGGTGTTAATAAATGATTAACATCTCTAAAGAGGCCTCCTGGGACCACATTAATAATTGATGAGACAGGTGTATCATTTTCATCTTGAAATGTTTACCTCATCTAGTATAGAAAAGTTTTCAATAATTATTTTCCCTGGCATATGTAGTGTTTACTCCGTATGTGTATTTATGTGTGTATATGTATATATGTTTATGTATGTGTACTTGTGTATGTAGCATCATCTGTATCTTCAGCCCTGATGTTTCTTTTGTCCACCAGACTCATATCCTATTGGCCTTGCCAAATCAATACACACAAAACAAAACCCATTATCTTTCTCAATCAAATTTTCTTCTCCACTTTTGTTTCCTGCCTTAAGGTGTGTGTTATATCCACCAAACTGGTCACCCAAAATAGATTCCTAAGAGATAGAAAATAGAATCCTAATGGATTCCTTATCCTCTCTCTTTTCAAGAATCAGTCAAGTCCAATATTTTCTACCTGTTTAATATCATTGATAAATCCTTCTAACTCTCCACAGTCATTGCTACTGCTTTACTTTGGCCCTCATCATATTTCTTGTGGGCTATAGCTAGAATCTCCTGATTAATCTTCCATTCTTTAGACTTGTCCTATTCATTATCTACCCCCATTCCTAGCAATAAAATAAACATCTACAACTTTTTGCCCAAGTGGGGTTTCTGTAATTTAAATAGTTTTTGAAATGTTCAGAAACATTGAGTACACCAGAACACACAGAGGGGAACAATAGACAATGGTACCTACTTGAGGGTAGAGGGTGGGAGGAGGGTGAGGTTCAAAAAGGTACCAGTTGTGTACTATGCTCACTACCTGGCTGATGAAATCATTTGTAAACCAAACCCCAGCAACATGCAATTTAATCATGTAACAAACCTGCAGATGTACTCCCAAACCTATAATAAAAGTCAAGGGAAAAAGTTCTCCAATATCGACAGAAAGAAAAATCTTCTGCTTGTACTTACTAAGCCTCTTCCTTTGCTAATTTCCTTGTAACATCTGAAACAGAGATAGATATCTTTGGAGGCATTTGGAAAACTCTTATTACTCCCTCTCTGTGAGATTTGTCCTACCTATAAGTTTGGGCTTTAGTCTATGTGTTGTCCTTTGTGTCTCTCAACTGGCACCAGCTTCAGCTAATTGAATCAGAAGTTTAAGCTTATCCAAGCTGGGCTATTTAAAGTCTTTTTGTTAGAGGGGTTGAAATCCCAAACTGGGTATTTTGCTTGAACTAGGGTGATGTCAATTAACGAGCTGAGACTGCCTTTATTGGTTGCCCATGTGTGCAGGAAAACAGAGTCTTCAAAGAGAAAGAACTAAAGCTGATGGAGGCCAAGCAGCAAGATGAGAGACCACATAACCCCAGTGAAGGAGTAGATTCCTTGTTCCAGATGTTGGCAAGTGCCTGGTCTAGTCGCAGATGCATCTGGCCCTTGAGTTTTGCAACAAGCCTCTGTATCCTTAAAATAAAATGCCATCTTTTTAAAAGTAAACTAGCTCGAGGGTTACTATTACTTGTGATATGGTTTGTATATTTGTCCCCACCCAAATCTCATGTTGAATTGTAATCCGTAATGCTGGAGGTAGGGCCCAATGGGAGGTGTTTGGATCATGAGTGGCTTGGGCCATCCCTTTGGCAATAAATGAGCATTCTCTCTGAGTTCACAGGGGAGCTGGTCATTTAAAATTGTGTGGCACACCTCATCCTCCCCCACCAACACATTCTGTCTCTCTTGCTCCTGCTTTTACCATGTGAAGTGCTTTCTCCCACTTTGCCTTCTGCCATGATTGTAAGCTTCCTGAGGCCTCCCCAGAAGCCAATGCAGAAGGTATGCTTCCTGTACAGCCTGTAGAACTGTGAGCTAATTAAACCTCTTTTCTTTATAAATTACCCAGTCTCAGGTATTTCTTTATAGTAGTGCAAGAACGGCCTAATATAACTTGCAATCAAGAGTTTTAACTAAGACACTTATTCATCTTCCAAGACTAAGCCAAGGTTACTCTTTTCTAAAGATTTTACAAATCCCAATACCACCTTCTCCCTGACTCTCACGTGTGCTTCCCTCTACCTGTAACATTTCATTACTCTTACACACCTGCTACTCCCATACTAATCTGTAAACTGCTTAAGAACAAAGGGAATGTCTTATGTATTTTTACATCTCTCCAGTGATGAAGGGTACATAAAAGTTTAACACATTTCCCTCATCGGATATTGTAATTTGATAGCATAGAAACTGAATTTAACCTGAATAAATATTTTGTTTGGCCTATACAGAGAACTTCAGTCTCTCTCTCTCTCTCTCCTCTGTCTCTGTCTCTGTCTGTCTCTCTCTCTCTGTGTGTGCCTGCACACATGTGTAAAATCTAGTATTTTCATTTACTTCTCTAAAGATAAAGATCTTAAGACCATTCCTTAGTATTATCCAGTATAGTATATTGATTTCCTCTCTACTTGATTGAAACAGCAGAGTTGGGCATTTATTTGGCTGATGTGTCCATAAGTTTTGTGGAAAAGTCAAGTCCAACATTGACTAAAGCACTCTGGTAGAAACAAAGGGAGATAAAATTATAAAGTAATATCTTTCCCCACAACTGCACCAAAAATGCACTTTCCAAAGTCACCAATGATCTCCTTTTTGTTAAATCCGAAGGGCATTTGACCCTTTTCTACAATTTGACATTGTTAACTAATTTCTTCTTCAATTTCCTTTCTTGCTTTTAGGGATTTGACTCCTAATTTTTTTCTTACCCTTAATCTAGCCCTTATCTCTTTTATGTGTTTCTCTTGCTCAGCCTTGCTCACTTGGTGTCTTTGATATTCTTCTCTTTTATTTTACTGTCTCCGAGGCTCATCTCACTTCTTGGCCTTTAATTATTTATTTATGTAGGATGTGAACTCCTAAATCAGCATTCAAGATGTATATTTGGATACTCATTTCAATGTCTCAGTCTCAAACTCAATATATTAAAAGTTGTATCCTTTATGTCCACCACCAGCCCCAAAGAATGCACAACTGAACAAAACCCTGACCATCATCCTATATTTTCTCTCTTTCTGAGCTATCCATAGAGGTGATCAAGATAGAAATGTGTGCCATCTTCTATTCATTCCACTGTCATCAACTACATGTACTCATCAAACCATGCCAGTTCTACCTCCTTAATAACTGTAGCTTAACACCTGAATAACTGAACAAAAACTTACAATTTAACTCTCTTAACACTTATCTACCTCAATTTTATTTTTATAATTTATACATAATCTATAATTATTTTTATATAATTGGCACAGTGATAATTCCAGATAAAACTCACTGAATTTCTATTTCCATCCTTGCCAATGATACACACACACAATGTAATGCTGAGAGGGTTGGGAAGGAAGAATGGGAGAAAGGCAGAAGTTGACAGTTAAAAAAAAAAAGTTTCCAGATGGTTTTCTTAGTGTCATCTCTGCAACCTCATCAAATAAGGGTCCAAAATTTATGTTACAACATTTGTTTGATGCCTTATTTAAATTGCTTTACTGGACATTTTCCATCTGTTAAGCTCTCTGAAAGAAACAAAATTGCCTTGTCATAGCTAGACCTCATGATCCTATACACTTACAACGGGCAGACTTTGCAGGGGCCCACACCTTTCAAGGTGGTTTGGGAAAATGACACAGAAAAGTTTTACATCAGCTGAAAAGAAAAATGCATAACTCATTTTGGTAATTTCAGTTTTAATTCTTAATAGGATAAAGGAAACATGCACATTATAAATCAATGCTCTGTGTTAACAAATAATCAAGTAAGCAGAGTTGCAAGTATTGGCTAAAATGAATTTTGGATATTTTTAGCTACCAAATTTCTCGAGGCAAGGCAGACATACATCTGGACCTGAATATCTGCATTATTAGGGAATTTTTGTTTGTTTGTTTTATATTGTTTTGTTATTTTTAAAAGTAGGTGCCAAATTAGGTCACCTGCTGTCTGGGCAATGTTATTTTTTGCCATAACCACAAATTGAAGAAAATTGACTGCTCTTTTTCCTTAGTCAACATGCTGTGCTTCCAGCCCCAAACATCTTTGAGAAGTTGTTTAGATTCATGAGCAATGCCTCTGTCCCCAACAGGCTAAGACATTAGGCAGGTCCCTGCACCTCTGGAGTCCTCAGTTCCCTGCAAAGTGAGGAAGCTAGACTAAGTAATCGTTAGGCTCCCTTCCAGACCGACCAATCTGATGGTATTAGATGCAATTGCTCCTGAATTAGGGCATGAAATGAATTCAGCTTTGGTGCACCAATGTGATGACTCTGCTTCATCAAAGCCTGAGCACGCGATAGGCCTAGCACCATCTCACACAGAGACAAAGGGCAACCCTCTGCTTCCAAAGGAATGACACAACCTGTTTCTGAAGTGATTCACATCATCTTTACTTTTGAACAACCCAATGCTCAGAAAACAATCTAAGAATCTTCGCTGACTTTAGGGATGTAAGATACGGTTTCTTGACAGTATTTGGGATTGTGGAAAAAAGCAATTGAGGAAAGGGCATCTCCACAACGCAATATTGAATTTAGTGCCCAAGGTCCATCACAGGAATCCCTAACGATCCCTACAATCTCTCTCTCTCTCTTTTTTTTCTCTCTTTACCCTGAAAATAAACTGAGAAGTTAGTATTGGGATAACTATTCCCCTTGACCCAAATAAAAAGTCCTGGGCAAACACAGGTACAAATTGCCAAATGGAAAAAGTTCTTCTCCATCTTCAGCTAGAGGGAGGCTGGGGATCCCAGCTCTTTAGAAGCCGGCCCGTGGACGCCCAGAGAATCCCTTCGGAGACCAGGTCAGGGTCACTGAGCTTGCCCAGCAGGGCGCCGCCTCGGACGCCGCCCCGCCTCTCACCTTGCCAGCGCCGCGCTCGGGCCGCGAAGGTGCGTGCGGCGCTCGGTGATTGGCGGCGGCCCGGAGCTGCCCGGCTGCCATTGGCTGCCCGGCCCCCTTTGTTCCCGGGTCCGGGCCGCAGGCCCGCTGCGGCGGACTGGGCGGCGGAAGTTCGACGGCGCCGGGCGAGTGGCTGTTGAGCGGCGCCGCGGGAGTTCCGCAGGTTTCCCGTGTTCGCAGCGGAGCCGGAGGCCAGCTGAACCCGGCCGTGGGATCCCGGATAGGAGGAGGAGGGGACCCATAGGACGCGTTAACATGGACCTGGAAAACAAAGTGAAGAAGGTAGGGGGGCGCTCGTGGCGGGCGGCGGCTGCTTCACCTGCGCGGGTCGCGCGGCGCGCGGCGGCCGGAGGTGCCGAGGTGGGTGGGGCTCGCGGGCCCCCCGGTGTGAGCCCGGCTCTGGGTCTGCGGTGCCCCGGGCCCAGGGACCTGGCCCCCTGGGTAGAGGAGGTGCTCGGCGGCCCCGCCAGCTCCCCACACTCGGGAGCGACAGAATTGGAAGCGCGAGCGAGGGCGGGCGCGGGACTCTTCTCTCCAGTCTCACGGAATCCCAGTGGTTGTAGGTGTTGGAAACTTTACTTAAGATGTTTCAGCTCTGCCTGTGCCTCCTCAAAAGGAAAGGACGAGCTTAGGGCGAGTGCGGGCGAGACCGTGACACTTCCTGGCTCAGGAAGTTGAATTTCATTAAGCCTTTGTGGTTTGGGGCTCTGCTGTGCTTTGACAGCTCTGATCTCCTCCCTTCCGGCTGGGCTGTCTGGGGCGCTCTAAAATGAGTGTTGATTTAATGCACTGCCTTCGCACCCGTGCTGGTGATAACTTCTAATGTGATTTTTTTTTCGGTCATTCATTACTTGTCTACCGACCGAGGCAGTGCCTCCCTCTTAGGGAATTATCTGTCAAAGAGCGCATTCTCCTTGTTTGGCAGGTAGTCCCAAAGGGCGGTTGTCACCAGCGTCTCAGCGCAGGGAGACATTTTCAGCTTGGCTGCTGCCTCGCAGGCACTGGAACCGACGGCCCTACCTGAGCCACTCCCGGGTTATGCGGAGCCTGGTGTCGCCTGGGAGAAAAGGGTGGGGACCAGACTATGACTCAGAAGGAATGCTGATGTCACATTCGAGTGAATTGCCCTGTGCGAAAGTTCTCCTCGTTCCAGGGGATTTGCTCATGTTTTACTTTGTGGTAAATTTAAGCTAGCTGTCCCTTATCAAATAGAGAAGTTTTGCAGAGAGAGGAAGGGAAAAATACAGAAAACAGTTTTTGTTTTTCTCATACTCATGGTTCCTAATATTTTATCTTCTAAACACAAAGTTTTTGACTTGAGCATTAATTCTATTTTATGCCCAGAACTGGATTTTTGAAAATGGATACAAAATATTGTGTTAGGACTGCAGAGTTTTCGGTTAGGAAGCTATTGACCAATAAAAACTCGAAATGAGAAAACAGTTTTTTTCATTCCTTGCGACTAAAATTCTCAGGCACTCAAAAAGGTATCCAAGAACAGAAAAACATAAATTGTTAATGGTAGCGTGATTGCATTCTATTCTCTTCCCATTTGGTTTCTTTCTTTTTTTCTTTTAAATAACTGTAATATTTTTGGTTAATCTTGCTTGTCATGGGGGAAAAGCGGGGAAAGCATTTTGCCCGCTTAGCTTTCTGTTGATGAATACTACTCTCATTTAGTTTTCAAGTAGGTAAGAGCTACTTAATTTAGTACTTGTCTAAAACTTGGGGGGTCTTGTCCTTGCTTTTAAGTATTTATTTGAAGACAACTTTGCAAAAGTAAACATATTTTGGGCTGCCGAGGATGAACAGGTGAAGCACAGGATTTTTAGGGTAATGACACTATTCTGTATGATACTATAAAATGGCTGATACATGTAATTATACATTAATCAAAATCCATAGAATGTAGAACACCAAGAGTAAACCCTAATGTAAACTATGTATGTTGGGGATAATGATGTGTCAATGTGTTTCATCACTTGTAACAAATGTACTGCACTGATACGGGTTGTTGGTAGTCCGGGAGGCTGCTGGAGACAGGAAGGCATGGGGGAGGTACATGGGAACTTCGAATTTTCTGCTCAATTTTGCTGTGAAGCTAAAAAATGCTTTAAAAATAAAGTCTGTTTAATAGGGGGAGAAAAATCAAAGACATTTTTGAAACTTTTTGAGACAAGGAGTAATTCTGAGGGAAGAAGTTCAAACTTAAAAATTGTATATGCTTGCAAAGGAAAAATCCAGACGTTGTTTATAAACAATTTCCTTAGAGTTTGAAAATGTGGATTATGATAAATAATGCCCTTGACATATGGTGTAATTTTCCTCGTTTATCCCCCACTTTACTTTTAAAAGTTATATTTTCAACCAAGAATCTTAACTTTCTCTAATCCTCCTCTTCTCCGCCTCTACCACCCCAGAAAGAATTCCATAAATTAAAGGTTTTAGAGAGAATCCCATGATATAACAAATCCCTGTTTCACTACGTTGTCTTCACTGATGATTCTTAGAATCCTCAACTGGTAAATTGGAAGCTATTAAAAAACCGCAGAGATGTCCCGTATGACTCCAATTTGTGAGTCCCTTAATAGGCTTGATAGTCTAACAAAAAGTTTCCCAGTACAAAATTTGGAAATCTCAGGAATGTATTTCACAATCTTAGCCATACTCTCAAAAAGAAATTTATGTTCCTTTTAGCAATTGTTTTCTAACACGTCCAAAGAAGGAAATATTACAAGACTATCTGATTTACCAGCAGAGTCCTCACCCTATTTTGGTACCTAGTTTTCAAGTCTCCTTTCTTTTTGACTCAGTTATTCAAGAAAATTTATAGTTTGAATGTACCTTGAGAAAAGGAAGATTAAAAGTTGGAACAAAGATACAACCATTTAAATACAACTAATATGACTTCTGTTTTAAGATGTATGACATTTTTTCCTTCTAAAACTTTTACATTGTTGATTTCATGAGGAATTTCTTCCAGACAGATGAAAAGCATCATTGTTCCACATTAACATTTCATGTAAAAAGAATTAAGGAGGACTGTCTTTATTAAACAGTGATTGAGATAGATGATACTATTATAAAATTCTTGGTTTGTAAAAGGAAAGCTCGTCCACATCAGTTGTACAAATTGGGATTAATTACCAGTTAAAACCCACCATCACAAAGACAAGGGGTTTTTATAATTAGATTTTGCTATATTTTGTTTTGTTTGAAGAAAGCGAGCTGTTGCTAGGATGTGGGAGCTAGTTTGGTTATACAAAGTTTTTGTTTTAATAATACTTTAGAACAGAATTGATTCTATGTCCTTGCCCTGTCTTCTGAGTTACACATCTAGACCTCTTTCTTATTTTTTAAGTCTCATCTTAATTGGCTTTGTGTCAGTATGGTCCATGTCTGCTTGGGAAAAACAGTGGACTTTGAGAAGCAGAAACAGTCTCATTTTGCGGTGAATGGTAAATCATGGCCAACAGCCAGCTGTTTTCCTCTTTCCTTTCTGTGTTACTCTCCCATGAGAAATATTTTTTTTCAATTAAGAACATACCAACAGAGAAAGAGAACTACAATAATTTCCCTTTTACTGCCTGGAATTGCTGCAGGGCTTTTTCATTTTACCGTGTTCATTTTTTCTCTCCTCTAACCCCTTTATTTTGATTAATCCTAATATTTTGCATACTTTTCTTAAGACTCTTATTTCTTTAATTTTACTTTTTAAAAATATGATGCATTTTAAAGATTACATGTTACTAAAAATCCCCTTTCTCTGTATCCAAACTTGTTTTCAAAACCTTTGTCATTAGCCAAAAAAGCATAGTGAAACCAAATGAATACTATTGGAAAAAGGACTAAACTACAAAGATTATTTCCATTGGAAATTAGAATGAGTTATTTGCCTTAGGTAGCCCCTGGTTGAAGTGGAAAAGGCAATATATGGTGACCTGGATGCTCAAATCTACAATTGCATTCCAGGCTTGAAGCCATTCTTGCTGCAAGAACCATTGGCAAGACTAAGGGTAAAGGTAGGGCAAGGCACATCCAGGGCTTTGCTTTAGAGGTGTTCTGCCTCTCTGAACAAGTGCAGAAGAAAATGAGTGGTCCTCGGCCAGGCTTTTATAAAACTATTCTAACCCATGGTGTGATTCATTACATTGGTAGAATATGAAAAGTCCCTTTCTCTTAATTGTCCTGAATATTGGTTGGAGAAAAAAACTATAGTAGGTTTTCTATTGATTCTGTTCCTTTATGCTGTCCTATGAAGTAGAAATAGGAATTTATATTGCTACTGGCTATTACCTATGTCCCATCAACTCACCCTATGACTTTGCTTGTGCATGCCCATACTCCATCTACAGTTCTAAATTTTTTCCATCCTTCAAGGACCAACCCTTCACACTGCACACTCCTCTAGGAAATCTTTCTCCATGCTGCCACCTAGATGAAAAATATTTTCTCCTTTTCTCCTGAATTCCCAAAACATGTTATTGGTAACACTTAGGACACTAATCACTCTCCACCTCTGGATTATACTTATCTGTTGTATGTTTCACCTTCTTACCTTGCTTACAAACTTCTTGAGAGATGAATCCATATCCTGTTACACTTACGTGGTTATTTTGTTTGCTGTTCAAAGCAACCTTAGGAAGTAGGCCTTAGCCCCATTTTCAGGATGAAGAAACTAAAAGTTTAGATAGCGTAATCTGAAACCTTACTATAGAGAACTTTACTATGAACTTGAACCATAATTTGAAGAATCCATGCTGCTTCCATCATGCCAACTAGGCCGAGTCTTATATTCTTCATCTTGCTCACTAAATATATGTGGAATGATAACTGTTATAAAAAGAGAAATAAAATAAGGTACATTTCAACACTTTCACTCATTTTTTAAAGGAATTATATTTGAGGAAGTGGTTTATATTCCAATAAAATCACCATCCTGCTAGTTTTCTATATTTTGTTTCTACTTTGTCCATGTTGTATGTATTCCCTTTAGTGTAAGTTGCCATTGACATTCTTTGGGCAGAGGCAAAGTATACGAAAAGTAAAAGTATTGTGAAAAGGAGTTTCTGGGAAACTTCTACAGTCAAAGAAATAGCATAAACTCCAATAATATTCTGTACCTTATCTTCTAAGATTCTCCCAACTTCCTGACTTTTGGTGTGAGCCAATGGTAATGCTGTCTCCTAACTATGTAAAATGGCCCTAGGTAACAGTGACCCTGTATTTGGCTCTTTGTTTTGTTAAGTTTAACCAATGGCATCTGGAACTATAAAGGGATGCTCGTGGTCTTTTCTCGTGTTGAGCTCTGCAGTTGAGAGAAAGCCTTACACATAGCATGAGTAGGCTAAACCTCTTTTCCCTTGTAGCAAAGTGTTCAGAGTGCCTCTGGAGTGGCAGACCAGACAGCTAAGAATGGAGCAGCTAAAAAGAAACAAAAAACAAACAAAAAACCTCTTAATATTGGGAGAACTATTTTTTTGTTTTAATTTCCCATTCTTCATGCAAAAACATTTCTTATGAAGCTGAGAAGCTGTGGGAAACACCAAAATGATCAGATATTTCATGAGGCTCTCATGGAGCTCCAGAGTGACATCCAGCATTGTTAGCATGCGATCAACATCATAGACCATCAGTGTGCAACACGAGTTACCAAGAGGGGCTTTCTTAGTGGAAAGAGAGTGATAAATTGGTAACATGGAAGCTACTTCCTGTGTTCTTTTTCTGAGAACTAGAAGAAGGAATACAAGTTGGCCCCATGCTAATGTGTATATACCTTTTTTACATACCAATCACTAGTGTGTTTAGAAATTAGGAAAGGTCAGTAAGTCTCCAGTATATATAAACATCTATAGTGTATGGAAAGGTCTTCCATAGTGTATCCGTTTTCTCACTTCCATTTATCAGTATAATATATTTAAAATTGCCCTAAGCTGAGAGTTGGTAGATCCGAGTCCACTATTTTTTGTGATATTAACCACTTTGGCTATCAATTTCTATTTATATAAAAATCAGTAGGGGAACCAGATGATTTCTGAGGTTTCTCCAAGTCCTGTGACTCTTTGATCGTGGGAAATAATATCAGTAGTCTACCATGTGTAATGTTCCACAGTGCTTTAAAATCACACAAATGAAGAACATATATGTATAAATATATACATAAAGGAGATGGCATAGTTTAAATGTTAGTGAATTCCATGAAGAACCTATAGATTGAACCAAATAATTTTTTTCCACAAATCTTAGCTATTTTCAACTTGTTTGTACTTAATTTTCATAATATTTGTGGAGGTATTTGAAGATATTAGGTTAAGTTTAATTAATTTAAATCTGTAGTATAAGGCTCTGAAGGCTGTAATAGTGTGGGTCCCATAAGTCTAGGAGTGATGTATTACTTACCTTGGTATTTAATTATGGGAAAATGAAAAATAATGGAACATTTATTTTCTTTAAAAGTTATCTCTCTCAAAATAAGGCTGTTAAAATAATTTTAAAAGATTAAAAAAAAACTATATGAGTGCTTTTTTACGTACCATGCACTGTTCTAGACTCTGGGGTTATAGTTGTGAACAAGAATGACACTGAACTTAAGCTTGTATCATAGAATTATGCTATTGCAAGTGTTGATAGAGCAATGTAAATATTGAAAGTAAGCACAACTGGAATTATACCCGTCAGTGAACTCTTGATAGGTTAGCAGTACGCTATGTTTCTAACACAGACAGTGAGCAATTTTGATGGTGATCCCTGGGCTTGATTCTTGGTTTTGCAAACTTTGTAATTAGGGATTCTTATTTCATTTGTCTTAAGTAATAGCAAATGTAAAAGATGGGAAAATGAGAAAGCAGCTTTTATGTATTAGAATGTGAAAAAGATTATGAATGCATAAAGCTATACAAATAGACTTACACCTATAATATACACAAACTATAAGTCTTCTCCCTGCCTACAAATGCCTTACAAAAGAGTCATTCTTGGATTTCCTGTTTGCAGTCATAGCTAATTTTTGTTTGGTAACTACTGCCATGGTAACCAAAATTATGATTTTAAAAGAATTGTTTATTAAATCATTAATATACAGGAAATTATTTTACTTTTTACAAGGTGGTGGTATCCAGAGAAATTATATTATTAATTATGAAATCAACTTTTTCTAGGAGAGGAAGATAAGGAAACAAAAGACTAATCAAAAACATTGCAAAACTGCAGATTTTCAGGATTTTAAAGAAAAATAATTTGGTAATTGATAACTTCACTACTGTTCTTTGAGTAAATATCCATGTTTAAAATTTGCCTCAAGCACTATTAGAGGATTAAATTTAGAGGTTATGCTTTTCAACTGCCCAACTACAATCTTTGACTCTCCTACAAAAGAGCTGCCATTTAGCATGGTTTTGTCAATTTTCAGTTCTAAGTGCCCTGTCTACCTAACATTCTAGTTAGATAATGGGGAATTAGAGCGATAAGGATATGCATGACTATAATTTTCTAAGTATCACTGTATTTATTTTGGTCAAATTCAAAAAAGTAAAAAAGCATAGTTTAGAATTGCCAATTTCTCTGTTCCTTAGTCTGTTAGAATGGTGGGGAGTCGGCTCAGATTTGAGCATGGCTTAAAGTGGGAGAGCGTTATTAGAAGCCAGCCTAGTGGGGATTGCTGAGATCTCATCTGCTGAATGACAGCAAAGTTACTACTCTGTAAATATACTTAATCTGAAATGCTGAATTATCCTCAAACCATGAGTGATTCAGCTTGTGTTTATCATTGTGACATTCTGGCCACTGTGAAAAGCTGTAAACAGGAGTTTCAGGGTGTTCATTGCATAGCTTATCTGAGCAGCGAGCCCAGCAGAAAAGATGGCATTCAGCCCAGCAGAAATGCCTTGATAAGGAGTCCATTAATGCATCTCTAGCCACAATGAACTTTTCCCTTGCTTTGTTTGATGATAAAGTGATATCATGTTTCATTGAAAAATGACCATGTAGATGTTAGGTGGATTTTTGTTTTTATATGACCACAACGTGACAGTCTTAACAGAATGAGTCACAAAGTAAGGATCAAGGATCTGATTTTTCCTTTATGAGATACTGGCCTACAATAAAAATAACTGGGGGTTAAAAAAATTACCCTTTGTTTTTCGTAGAGAATATTAAAAGTGCAGTTTAGATTTAAAACTACAGACTCTAAACTCCATATCTATCAGTATCACCTCTTGAGCAAAATACCGATGTCACCTTTGATAGATTTTTTTTTAAAAAAGGAAGGAAGATGAGTGAGCAAAACAGATGTGTAAGTTAACTACAGTGCTGGATAGAATGACATAAGTGCTATAATACAATTTCTTATCTGGGATGAGGAACCTTTTTATAAACAAAAATTAATCATTGGTTGATATTTTTAAAAACACAATAAAAATTTATTACTTAAAAGACAAATACAGGGCCAATTAAAAAAATTATTAAATGCAAGAGACACAAAATTACTTTAAGTATATAGTAGTTCCTAATTGCCTACTGTCAGTTTCTCTGCCTATCTCATCACAGACTAGTGACTTACACTTTGTGAACTGCCACTTTGAGTAGCACAGCAATAATAGAAATACAAACAACTGTTATGAAGTCTTAGAAGCAGAAGTAACTAACTTTAATTGTGTGGGTTGCGATTATTTTATCAAGGAAACACCTCCTATAGAATAAAGAAGCTTTCATTAGGCAAAGAAAGCATTCCATAAAGAGGAAATAGCATGAACCAAAGGTACCTGGCTGTGAAAAGTCAGTAAAACCACCCTTGACATTTTCAGTTTTGTCTCTTCTAAAATAAAGCTAAAGTAGATGAGCTGCAGTAATTTGTAATTTTTCCACAGTACAGGTTTGAATTAAAGAGGTATGTCACTGAGCTAGTATAAGACCCTAGCCCACAGCTGAAGAGTTTCTGATCTCCCTTAACTGTGATGATTATTTAATACATTGTGTCATCTATTGAGAGAGAGGAGGAAATTTCACAGTAGAGTCTAGCTCATTTAGGCTGGTCTGGACTCTGAGCTGTGGACTGGGACCACAATGTTGCCAGGTTTTCATCCTTCTTAGATCAGTGAAGCCAACAGTAAAGGTCATGCCCAACTGCAGGAGCACCTTTTAAGCCTCTTCTTATGCCAAAGCAGTCACATGTCCAGTTCTGAAGTCAAGGAGAGAAGTCCAGTCTAGCAACTATGAGGCTAGGGCAGGGATATGATGTTGAATACTATTACGTGGGAATGAAGGATTGGGACCATTACTTCAGTCTACCACGTGTGCTATAGAGGGACAGTTGAATGTAGGGGCTTGAGGATACTTTTCTGAAGATCTTTCATGTATCAAGAGTATTCTGAGATGATATTCTGTATGGTATCAGACTACACGTTTCAAAGCAGAGTAGTTTTTGGTCATTCTGAAAAACTGTAGAGGAAAGTTAACTTTGCAGTATCCCTTACTTGATATTTAGGGTTTCCTTTTTTTAATCTGGTCACTCTTCTGTTAGCTTTGAAACATAGGCCTCTCCAAATTCATTCCAGCCGGGTCATGTGACTTCCGTGTTAAACGAAGACATGTAAAACTCATTTCTTTGGGAAATGGCAAGTTGCCTAAGGTTTTGAAGGGGAATTACAAAATATTACCTTTTATATACTGCAACAAATGGAAAATATATTCTGTGAACATTCCAATAATATGTGTTAGACTCTATCTTTGGTAATGGAATAGAAGGTTATCCCAAGATAATTGGCAGAATTTAAAGGTAAAAAGAGGCAAGACAGATTTCAGTGGCCTAACTCCACAGCTCTTTTAAGATGTCCCAGGTAAACCAGTAGTGATGTTATTCATTGTTACTTTCTCATGGACCAGATAAAATTAAGCCAGAGGGTAGGATCATCCTGTGGACCACTGTTGCCCACTTTTCTCTAACAGTTAGGGAATTTAAAGGAAGCAGCGCAGACTTTGACTTTTCCAGACATAGATTTGGATCCCACCTTTGATATTTACTCAGTAATTTGGCAACAGTTGCTCCTTGGTTTCAGAGATCTAATCTGCAAAACATGGATAGTACTTCTTTATTGGATTATTGTGAAATTAAATAAAGTAGTACATGTAAATGTTTAGAACAGTGCCTGACATATAGCAAGTACCTGGTCAGTGTTATTAATGTTCTCTGATCAGTTTTGTTTAGTTAGTTAGACCTTAGTACCAATAAGTAAACATTTTGAGAACCAGAACTGCATTAAAGTTGGGTATCAGCTTTAGAACCCTGGGTTCAGTTTTTGGCCCTGGCGTTTATTAGCTGTGTGAATTTGGGAAAGCTACTTAGCCCTGTAAACCTTAGTATCCTCATCTGAAAATGGGTTTCAACTGTCTACCTCACAGGGTTGTAAGGATAATCGAGATGAATATCTTAAAGCACAAAGTATGGTGCCTACACATAGACAATAAACAAATGTGTGGTAATCCTCTTCAAGAAATTCAATCTAGAGGGAAGAAAATCCTGCATAGATCTTCATGCTATTTAACAGACACCTGAATATATTGTCAAGAATTTTATGATGGCATGCTCTCAGTAAATTATTGCCACTTGGTACTTTGTTGGACACAAATATCCATTTAAAGTTCGATAACTGGGGGATATATTAAATTACTGGATTTAATATATCCTTTTGCTAATTTAAAAATTTAATATATTTAATGTATCCTTTTGCTAATTTAAAAATTATTCTGATTTATATTTTTATAATGAAATTAAAATTTATAAATATTTCTGGAACTTGAGTACCTACCATGTGCCAATCGCTATGCAAAGGATTCAAAGCTGGGTATATTAGGTTCCCTGAGAAAGCACTTGATTGAACACTGCAACGTATTGTGGTCCCGTATAGGGAATTGGTATGTTTCCCTGATTGGAATCTTCCTCAGAGTTTCTGAGGTAAATTACAGAAATGGTTACTATTCTTTGCAGCACCTCCCATTAAAAAGTGGAGTCTGTTTTCCTTCCCTTTGAATCTGGACTGCTTTCTGACTTACTTGGATCAGTAGAATGTGGTAGAAGTGGTGTGTGAATCCTAAGCTTGGACCTCAAGAGACCTTGCTTGCTTCTATTGCTCTGTTGCTGGGATTTAAGTCTTCACAGCTTCCCACAGTGAAAGCTGTGGAAGGAGTCTTACAGAAGACTGTCCCCACTCTGAATTACTCTCATATTCCTCTGTACATCTGAAAGAATCAAGAATCAATGTACTGAAACTGCTCTAATTTCATTGGTGGCTTAAGATTGAGCCCACTTTCTGCTCTAGACGAATCTGATTTTGATTTTTGTGCTTGTTGTTCCATTAAAGTGAAGGAAAATTAAATTAACATGCAACTGCAATTTTATCTTAGTTGTAAATAGGTGGTATATGCATATTTTGAAAATTGTCTGATTTCCTTGAATCACTAGACAAATTTTAAATGATGTCTGTGCACCTTCTTTAGTGGTATAGTCTAAATATAGAGCAAAAAGTATGGTAATCCAAACCACTTCTCTGATACATCAAAAGTTAAAACATGGGTCAAAAATTAGTTAAGGCTCTTTGATTTATGCAGCACAACATATCAATAAACAGAATTCTTTTTTTTCCAGAATAAGGGATGGTGTGAAAAGGGTATGCAATAAATAAATAAGCAAGCATGAGGACCTGGCAGTAGGGTTCTTACATCTCTCCCTTCCTTTCCTGGTTTCCAAGACCCCTCTCCTTGCTATAAGACTTTGTTTTTGTTCTAAATGCCTGTGAATGCTAATTTGGGGCAAAAGAGAAAAACGAGAAGACTGTCTTTTTGCACCCCCTTTTCTGTTTTCTTTGCTGTCTCTGTTGGGCATTACTCTCTAGGTTTCCTTGGATCCTCCTGCTCCTCTGGGCAGCCTCCTTCAGTGAAGCCCTCAGCCAATGCCATGAGCCTTTTCTTTCATTCTCCAGTCTGTGAAAACACATCTGTACTGCCGTCTTTTTCTGCATGTGCTCCAGTTAGATAGTTAAAGAATTAGTGGCAATAAATCACTTAATTGTACAGTCAATCTACTCATCCCCTCACCCATGTATTATGATGGGTTACCCCTGAAGAAATAATACCATAGCCTTTAGGCATCGCAAGAATGATCGCAGTATTCAAGTTTGGGGATAAAGAGCCTTAATTAAGACCTCTCAAAGCAGCTCTCTGTGGGATCCACCCTTTAGAAGCAGCTGTGGAGATAGTGACACAAGACCAAATTAGGAATGGTTGCCATGATCCAGATTCTTTTATGGAACTCCTACAGATGCGTTTTGGAATCAGGTTTTTAAAGTCCCTTTTATAGCAAATAAATAGGAGGTTTTGAGGGCTGTTTATGAGCGCATTCCATTACAGTGTCTTTCAGCGGAGCCAGAGCTCAGCCAATCCTAATTAAGAAGCAATTTCAGCTGCAGTCATTGCTTATTATAATAATTGTGACATTTTTATAGCCCTACATTGTCTTTCTCAAAGTAACGGATTCAGGAGGAGTCCTTTTCTGAGTAGAGTCCACAGAAGAGGTATTCTATTGGTAAGCATTTCAAATGACTTCCTTCATACAGTAGTATAAAAATAATTTGATAGCAGTCCGTTTGAAAAATGTTTATAAGGAACCAGCTTAAACTGATCAGATGGAATATATTTTCATCAGTCGCTTACCTGAAATAAGTACAAACCTTTTTTATTTTTTAAAAGGGGGGCCTAAATTTCGCTCCTAATAATATTGTAAGGTTACATATTAAGTTTCAAATAGATAAGTAGTACTGTGAGGGAAGGAACTGCTAACTGTAAATACTACCTAATTTGAATCAAGTAATTTTGGCTCCTGATGTCACATGGAGGTACTGAAATTTATTTTCTTTTACTTAATTCCATCTCCAGGTGGATTTATATAATGGAATTTAAAAGTTTATGTAAATCTTTTCCAATTTTTATTCTGTGTTCTTTAAGGATGACTGTGGCATAATATAAACATTGCGAAAATTTTCTCCCAAGTATATTTGGTATTTTAATAATCTGGTTTGCAGCTGTCTTCTGTAACACAAGTGTGTGTGTATGTGTGTGTACCCAAGTGTGTGTAACTATATATTGAGAAAGAAAATGAGACTTAGAGGCTAAAAATCATATTCTACCCTGTCTTCTGAAAGATCATTTCCTGGTTCTTACTGAGTGAACAACTAACAAATTGAAGGGAATAAGTATTAATGAGGAAGGAACAAAGTTCTGCTTTAGATGCCCATTGGGTGAAGAGAATTTAAATATTTGAAATGGGCAAAATAAAGAGAAGTGGTAGATAAGTACCCCATATACCCCTGTTCCCCTTTATAATATGTCTGTCTCGTCACAAATCACTTAGTCTTTGGATTTAAAATCAAAACAGAAAAGAGGATATAGTAGGCAGCATCTAAGATGGTTCCCAATTACTCCCACCTACTAGTAGTCACACCCTTACATATTGCCCTGCCATTGAATGCAGGCTAGCCTGATCAGTTGCCAAAAAATGAAATGTGGCAGAAGCAATGGCATCACTTCCGAGATTAGGGATTACAGCTTCTATCTTGTGGTTCTCTTGCTCTCTCTGGGATCACTTGCCCTGGGGAGAACCAGCTACCATGTCCTGAGGTACCCATGTGGGCAGGCCCATGTGAGAAATCTTAGAAGTGGGTCTCTCCCTAGTCGATCCTTGCAGCCCAGCTGACCCCGATTGCAAACTTGTAAGAGACCGTAAACCTGCCCATCTACCTAAGCCACTTCCAAATTCCTGACACACACAAACTATGACATGATAAATCGTATTTTCAAACCCTAAGTTTTGGGGTAGTTTGCAGCGAATACAGAGGTGTTCCATTATGAATCTAGAAATTCAGTGATTTGAAAAATTTGAAAAGAATGATATTTTGCTTCATTGCCCTGAGTACTGCATAATGTATGTAATCTTACATATAATATAGCAGATAATTTTTAGTACTAGTCGTGTCTACATGTTTTGAGTAAACACCTTTCAATTTTGAAATATAATTTGTTCATTTGTATTTCTTGCTCATTCTTTTAATTTTTTTTTTCTCTTGCTGTAACATTGAAAGAGACCTATTTTGCGTCAGGACCCTGGAGATTTTTGTTGACTCACACCTCATTCTTCTGAGGATCCCCTTGTGTGTGAATTTATCACCTCGGGGACTTCCATGTTAGTGTAGCTGATGTGCAGACATTCAGCTTCCTCATAATAAGTCCCAGGTTTTGCCTAGGATGGAGGAATTCCTGCCTAGCAAACAATGAGCAGTCTTTAAGATCAAAATTGATTACTCTAGAGAAGTTACAGAAGAGGAATATTACCCTTTACATTACTATTTACCTTTTTAGTTTCAGTTTGGAGGGAAAAAAAAACAGTGACTTTGTAGTGAGTGCATAGAGTTTGAGTGAGAAATGCCAAGATGCAAATCTCACTTCTGCCACTTGCTAGTTGGGTAGTCTTAGGCAAGTTAATTTCTCCAAGTCTCAATTTCCTTTTTATGAAATAGGGATGATAATACTTTTCCAATAGGTTGTTGGGGATTAAATGTGATGGTTATATGTATTTTAGCTGGCAGGTAGTAACATTTTAACAAACGGTGGTTGAGGTGTTTTTACTAACACTTCCACCATCACAACCCTCAGTGCTCATTTTTTAAAGTATAGTTAAAAACACTTCAACATATCCTGCCAAAACTAAAATTTATTATTGTTTCCTAGAATGTAGCAGGATCTATTTCTGCTCTTCTTCAAATATGTTACTGTATGTATTGAGGTATAGATGTTTTGAGTAATCAGCTACAACTTGATTACATCTCAAACTCAAGTAGAGAAATTGTCTTGATGACAATACCTTTGTCATTAACTTAATACTGTTACTGCCTTAAGAAATGTAGGGATAGATTGAGTAGGAATCATCCACTTTAATTTGTTAAAGTCCCAGAAAACTTGACGTACTACCTCCAGAATATATTTTATTACAAAATATTTAGGCAGAAAGAACACTTGTTTCCTTTTCATTCCTAACATAATAGTCTATGTGATTATTTACTGCTGTCTGTGAACAAAAAAGATTTCTGACCATTTGGCTTACAGTGGATTTTGTGATAGAGATGCATACAGGGCTTCTGGCTTTATACATCTAAGCTGAAAAGGTGAGGGGATGTGGAAATGAATCCTAGAATCTGCAGTAAATAGTTTTATTCCTGTTTCCTTATGGATGAGCCATGTTGACAACTAAAGACCCTTAACTGATTATTCTATTCTTGAGCTATAATATTTGGTCTTCAGTTAAAAATTCCATTACATTCTATTTTTAAAACTGATTTAGGAAATAGGGCTTCTTTATCAGGGCGTTCCATTTTATGACCTATCTTGAGGCACTATTTATTGGTTAGGAGCAGTCACAGCTCTGTCCCAGTTTCTTCATGTGGATAAAAATGTGGGTAGTAATAGTATCTCAGACTCTCATAAGATTGTTATGAGGTTAAAATGAGATAATCCATGTAAAATACTTAGAACCCTGCATGGCAGTGTAAGTGCTCAATAAAAATCAGCTGCTGCTTTTATTATCACCACCCCTTCCAGTGTCTTTTTGTGTGTGTGTAAAAAGGCAGTGGAAGTTCCTTGGGATAAAGATATGTTATGATAAAGATTGTTTGATAATTAAAACAATTAAATAAATAAAACTTTCTAGCACTATTGTAAATCTCAGACACTGGCAGGTACTAGGAGTTCAAATATGAACAAGAAGCTCACAATCTAATGGGGGTAAATTGATGTGCACACAATCATAATATAGTAAGGAAGGACTTAATAACACAATTTGTGCCAAGGGGATAGTTAAAGAAAGGTATCACAGAGTTACTGACATTAGAATTGAGTCTGTGGGCCCAGTAGAGACAACGACTTTGGCAGATGGAGAAGAAGAGGAGCAGAGGTTCAAGCAAAGTGAAAAGCTCCGCTTAAAACAGAGAGCGGCTGGAGGGGAGTGGTGTGAGGAAGGCAGGTGGCGCCAGGCTTTAAAGGATCTTCTTTGCATGCTAAGAAAAGTGAAATTCATTGAACTTATTAAAACCATCTAGCAAGGGGAGTGTTATGATTATCTTTAGGTTTATTAAAATAATTTTGAGAATAGCAATACAACGTCATACAAAATGATCAGTTAGGAGAGTGTGGTCTCAGGATGATATGATGTGAGTTTGAACATGAACACTCGAGTGCAGATGAGGGAGCAGACTGTGTGGTTTTTAGAAAAGAGACACTAGAATTTGGAGCATCGTAAGCATGGCTAGACAAGGACAAGGAGGCCTCTGGGCCCCAGGTTGGGTGACCAAGTGGGTGGTGACAACTTTGTCTTCAGTCTTCTTCTCATGTATTTCAGCCTTGAGTAAGTGAGAGATGGGAAGTTTTTGTTTTTATTAGCAAAGAAAGAGAAATGTAGCAGATTTATTAAGAATGACTAATTGTAGCTCTTAATCACACTAGTTCTTTGTATTCTTACCTAAGAAAGTTGGCAAACTAATAAAATGTGCAACTATTTTTATATTTAAGTTTGGTTTTCTGTGTAACCTACACTTTTTATTTTATTTATTTATTTATTTATTTATTTATTTATTTATTTATTTATTGGAGATGGAGTCTCACTCTGTCACCCAGGCTGGAGTGCATGGCGTGATCTCAGCTCACTGCAACCTCTGTCCCCTGAGTTCAAGCGATTCTCCTGCCTCAGCCTCCCGAGTAGCTGGGATTACAGGCATCTATCACCGCGCCCGGCTATTTTTTGTATTTTTTTTTTTTAGTAGAAACGGGGTTTCACCATCTTGGCCAGGCTGGTCTTGAACTCTTGACCTCATGATCCACCCGCCTCAGCCTCCCAAATTGCTGGGATTACAGGCATGAGCCACCGTGTCTGGCCAACCTACACTTTTTTGGTAATGCAAATCTTGTTAGAGATTTGGAAACAGGCAATGAACTAAAACGTTCAAATTTTAAATCTTGTGTCAGATCTTAATAAAAATATATTGATTGGGTGGGGGACTTCACAGATCACACTGGATTTCTAAGAGAGCCATTTGCTAAGAGGAATTATTTAGATATGTAGTTCCTTTGTCCAGAATATTTATCTGGATGAACAAAATCTAAAATGCTTCTTTAGGAGTGTAATATGAATATATGTGTGTGTATATATACATGCATATGTGTGTGTATATATGATAGGTGGATAAACATGCATGCACACACACACTGAGAAAGCGGGAGTGGGAGAGAGAGATGTATATTTCATATGATCTACCTTCATTCCAATATTATTAAAGAAGTCTTAGTAATGCTTGTTTAGTAACCACATAGGATTCTTTACTCCAGAGGGAAATTTGGTTATGAAAACAGCATGAATCAGATGATCTCACCCTGAATACTGCATAATATCTTCCAGACCCAAATTGTCTCCAGATCAACTCAGACCATGTTTGAAATACCAGATGTTCCATAGTCTTTTTTTTGTTTTTTTTTTTTTGTTTTTTTTTAAGTATCTGACATGCAGTACCTTTTTCTGGGTCAGAAGGGTCACCTGAAATGTTGCCAACCTATTCGACTGCTGAAAATTATGAATATGGATACATTGATTCCATTCCCATTTCTTATTCTAAAATAAGCAGGGGATAAAAGGGTGTTTGGAGGCACAGATCATGGGAATGTAAATTCAGTTTATGGAGCCTGCAGTTAAAGATACTTAAGACCTATTTGTCTATGATTCGTGTTTCACAGTAAAATTATGTAGTCACTTTTATTTTTTTCTTAGGACCTTGATAGATAGTCCCAAAGCCTGACTGTAATTTCTCCCAATATAGTCAATCCAAAGGACCTGTTTTCTTGGACGCTGAAGAAGAAAAATTATTCTGTCATATCCTTTTATTGATGCTGGCCAGAATGTGTTACTAAAATTATATGAAGTAGACAGCTTTGAGACTTGTGCGCTTATGAAAAACATGTGTTTTTAGGCACTAAGTGTTGAGTCTGCAGGGAATACCGTATCACATTTACTGTTGAAATTATGTTAAAATAATTACGTGCAACAGGACTGAGTTTTATCATTCACAGCTTAAGTCTTTTGTTTCCTATGCATACTTTATAAAACTACTCCACCAGAGTTACAAGTGATTCTGACTTCTGAGAGTCATTAATATATTAGCTTTTTCAAATAATTATTTTCTATTTAGTGATTAAACTTTGAGCAGATGACCATGCTGAATAATAACCAAACTAAGACACAGTTAATCTGACACATGATTTGCAATAAAATTAAAAGGTATCTTGGAGCCAATCTAGTTTAATTTCCTCATTATCTAGATGAAGCCTAAAGAAGAAAGATCACTTTCAAAATCCCTGAACACGCCAGTGACACTCTGTGACCAGAACACAGGTTTCCTGACTCTCCTCCAGGGATCTTTCTACATTTTCAAAGTTCCCCGTTAGCTCTCTAGTATCTATAACTATATATATATATATATATATATATATATATATATAATCATTTCCTTAATATTTGGTAATTCTCACAACATAGATATGACATACAGGTACACCTATCTTGGTTATATTTGTCCAAGGGTCTAGATTTCACTTTCTAAACAGCTAGTTCGCCTTAGCTGAGGAGCTAAGCCTCTCTGGGCTCACCTTCCTCCCTGCCACTCTCTCTCGCACCCTGGGCATCATTAAATAACACCTTCCCTATTTATATCCCTCACCAAGAGTTCTCCAGCCCAGACATCTGTAGACATCTTGTAGGCAGAAACTAACCTACAAGATTTGGATGTCCAAGAATAGTCATAGCCTTGGCTCTTCAGGAAAGGAGAAGAACACTAAGGAGAAGGTGTGGTCTATGCTGAGGGTAAAGAGAAGAGATGAGAAGAATTCTGGGTCCTGGACTTCAGGGAATCCTGAATACAAAGTGAATAATGGAGAGAAATTAGAGAAGCCCTTAGAGTAGATGGGGTTCCAAATCCTTGAACTGAAACCAAGAGGAGTTGAGGAACCTCAGTTCTTGTGACACTCTGCCCAAAATAGGCCCTAAGAAACTGTACTTGGGGCAGTTCTGGCTGTGAAACTCCTTTTACCACAGATTAGAGTCCATATGCTTCCCTTCATCTGATATGCATTTGACTTATGAAGGGGAGAATAGCAGATGATTAGATGCCTCAGTTGGAAGAAATTTGCCTCACACTGGTAGAGGTATGTCTGCTACTGTGTAATTTTATAATATAAATTGGATTTAACAACTGCATTCTAAATTATAATTCAATCTGAAACTAGGCACATCCTAAACAAGGAAAATGCTAGAGTGTGAATCACGTATCTTCTTTCTTGGAAAGGCATTGTTTTTGTTTCCTAACAGAGGGTTGATAAAGAGGATAAAAATATGGAAAAAGTTCTCACCCAATAATGTGGCATAAGTCAGAGATCTTCAGTGCTGGTATCAATGAGATTTAAGTTTTGTAGCTATATACTTATAGCTATAAAATAAATTTCTTACTGAAATGTTCTCAGGAAAACAAGTTTATTGCCAGTCTGAAACTCTAATTTCTCTAGCTGCTAAAAGTGATTTTGAAAACTTGGTGTCATTTTTGTTTGTGTTTGGTGTGTGTGTTTGTTTTTAATTAGGACTGCTTCCATTGGGTTATAGTAGGAGAAAGTGTATCATATTGCCGTGACCCATTCCACTCTCTTTCACTTACTTGCTCTCTGTCTGTGATGTTTAAAAGTTCCCTCACACTTAGGTCTGAGCATGTGGGGAAAATGAAAGTGTTTGTGTTTGGAAAGGTAGAGGGGCACTTTTTCCAGGCAGTCACAAATCTAACTGGAAAGAGTCCATAAAGAGATTAAGTTGGCCTTCCAGGCAGGTCCCAAGGGCAAAAGAACCCTGGAACAATACTTTCTGGGTTTTCCAGAGCGGCCTACAGAGCCAATTTCTCAAGTTACTGCTTTTCCCAAGGCCTGGTCTCCTGGTCCCTGTGAGGGCTTCCTGAGCTTCTGCTAGCAGAGCTTGAGAGGTGCTCTTGCTCCTCACCCTCCCCTGTTGCCCTGTGGCTTTCCTCTTTACCAGTCTCTCCTGTCTCTGAGGATGTCATCCTCTGTTAAGCTGGTAGCCTAAGACATGGCATTGAATGCTTCAAGAGGTTTAGTTTCTTCCTTGGGAAAATGAAAAGGAAAACAAAACAAAGTACTCCGCCTGCTACAAGGCCAGCCCTGTCACTCTGAAAGTGCTTTACAATTTTTTGGCTCTTCCTTTGCCCTCTTCTGCCACAGGCCTTGTGTATGGTGTTTCCTCTGCCCTGAATGCACTTCTCTGAGCCAAATTAGATACTGCTCAGCCTTTCCATTGTAATTCATGCACCTCTCCTTCAGCGAAGCTTCCCCAGCCTTCCTTATTTATCTTGTCTTCCTTTTTAAAGCTCTCAGAAAGTCATCTACACTTAGAGATGGTGCAAGAGTGTTTCTGGAAAAGAAAGTTCTTTTCTTTGGGGCAGAAATTAGCTAGTGACTCTTTGGAAGACAAGAGCTCCCATTTGACACGCTAGTCCTCTGCCCCAAAAGAACAGTAGAGCAGGAGCCAGATGCTGAGTTTTAGGTCTGGTTTGCTATTGAGTAGCTGTGCAACCAGGAGCAAATTATCCCTCCTCTCTGGATTCTATTTTCCTGATCTCTTACATGAGGGAGATGCCTAGTCCTGTCCAGAATAAGAATATGTGGGAGACTTTAAAAGAGCAGCAGTTCATGAAATACCACCAGCTCTAGTAATTCTAATAAATAAAATGATAGCTATTTTAAGAATATATTGATGAAAAGTGTCAAACTCTGTAAAAGTATTTGAAGATCTTATTCTGAGCCAAATATGAGTGATCAATGGCCTATGACACAGCCCTGAGGAGACTCTGAGAACATGTGCCCAAGGTGGTCAGGCTACAACTTGGTTTTATACATATTACAGACATCCGTCAATACATGAAAGATGTACATTGCTTCAGTCTGGAAAGACAGGACCACTGGAGGTGGGGGGCGGTCCTTCCAGGTCATGGGCAGATTCACAGATTTTCTGATTGGTGATTAGTTGAAAGCCTTATTATCTAAAGACCTGAAATCCAAAAAAAGGAATGTCTGGGTTATGATAAGGGGGCTTGTAAGGACCAAGGTTTTATCATGTAGATGAAGCCTCCTGGTAGCAGGTGTCAGAGAGAATAGATTGTCAATGTTTCTTATCAGAGTCTGTTCTGTCAGTCTTAGGTCTCTGTGTTTCTGCTAATGCTGGTCAGCTGTGAAGCAGCGCCCACCCACCCCCAGCTCCCCATTTCCTATCATGGCCTGAACTAGTTTTTCAGGCTCACTTTGGAATGACCTTGGCCAAGAGGTGGGGTCCATTCAGATGCTTCATGGGTTTATAATTTTATTTTTGATTTACAAAGATAAAAAGTTGGTAGGAGAAAACAACTTGCCCCTTTGCAAAGTTGACTTTGTAAGTCAGTAGCGAGCTACTCCAAAGCCTTAGTGTAAAAACTGCTGACTCATGGAGGTTCTAGTTACATTTGCTGAACTTTCAAGTTGGATTCAGAAATAGTGAATGAGATGGTATTGTTCCAGGATGTTTGCAGTCTTTTATAAGCCCAGTGTTGTTCAGACCAGGCAATTCCAATCTGAAGGCATGCAAGAATTTAAGTGGCCATTTAATTTAGAGGCAGAAGCATATTTCTAGATATTATCTGTCCACAAATATCAGGATTTTATACACACATGTAAGTTTGTATGTGTATGTGCAAGTTCTTTGTCATGAGGTAAAATTTATTCCATGTTGTGAATTATATAAAAGAGAGTTTAAAAGCCTCTGATTTAAGCTAAGCTATGTGATTAAGCCTTAATAATGTAATCAAAATTTTCATTTGGGATTAGAGTTTATTTAGCAGGAGATGCATGAACATAGTATGAATCATATCCATACTCCAGGCACATTCAGAACTAACTCTTCTGTAATGGAAAATTAGAAAGGGCCTGAAAAAGAAAACTTTTTTGGATTTGCTTTTCATTTTACTATGGATATTGTAATGGAGAAAACATGTAACTATGCTTATTACACAAGACCAGAAAAGTTTCCCTCTGTCTTTTGTTTAACCTACATTATTTCCATACTGTGTGAACTGTGATCATCAGTGACAAGGAAACAATTTAATTGCTTTAAAAAAAAGCTTAGTGTTGACACTAAATATACAATTTAAAGACTTTCATTTCTTTTGAAAATTGGTAATATGGACATGGCAAAGATGATAAAGCTTAGCTAATGCTGGACAGTTGTTTATTCTTTAGAGAGTATACTTTATATGGTCTAACTTAAAAGTATTGTGGGTTTTCCTAAGCAACTGTGTGGACCAGTTGGGTTTGAATATGGCCTTAATTATGGAAAAAGGATGTGGTCATTTTCTTTAGGACAAAAGGAAAGGCTTCACTTAAACTTCAGGACATGTCAGACTGATCTTTCAAGGAACCAGTTACAATGTGGTTTTGATTGCATAGTGACAAACACAGCTTGGTAAAGTTACAAAAGAGGGCCATTGAAAAATACCTATTACTTGTCCAGCTTGAACTGCTACTCTAGGCACTAACCAGTAACTAATTCCTCATGGTCACTGATGTGATATTTAAAACACAGAGTAATCTGATTACTGGTGGTTTGCCACTGTACTGATGTAAGGCTGGCTACTCTTTTTTTTCCAATATCAGTCGTTGGGTAAAAGAGCTTAATTACAACCTTGTGTCCTTCTGCCATCTGCACCCCACTCCTTCCACTTATTAGGCCATGTCTCAGCAAGTTCTCAAAGACTATTGTTTAATATGGTAAAGAAGAAAAGGGTTTGCTATAGCAAGGGTGATAATACAGCTCTCCACTCCTTGCCTCCCTACAACTTCAGGCAGAAGAGCACAGGCCTTGGAGTCAGAAAGACTTGAACTCAAATCTCTACCATTTATTAACATTTTGATCTTAAGCAAGTTTCATAGTCTCTGAGTTTCAGCAAAAACATTTCAAAAATGGCAAATCATATTGCCTACTTTGTAAGCATTTTATATAGTTCTGTAAGATTTTAATGAGATATAAGTAAAGTACTTACCTCTATTCCTTGTGTCTTAGTCTATTCCTGCTGCCATAACAAAATACCTTAGACTGGGTAATTTATAAATAATAGAAATTTATTTGTCAAGTTCTGGAGGCTGGGAAGTTCAAAATCAAGGCACTGGCAGACTCAGTGTCTAGTGTGGGCTTGCTTTCTGCTTCCAAGATGGCACCTTGTTGCTGCATCTTCACATGGAGGAAGGTTCAGAAGAGATGGAAGAGAGGAACTCACTCCCTCAGGGGCTAATCCCATCAATGAGGGTGGAGCCCTCATTGCTAACTGCCTAATCATTTCATAAAGGCCCAGCTTCTTAATATTGGTACATTGGGGATTAAGTTGCAACATGAATTTTGGAGGAGCACGGACATTAAAGCCATAGCACTGGCATTCAATAAGTGTATATTGTAGCTATTATAATAATATTTATCATAATAAAAATAATATTTCAGTTGTAATTCCTAAAATCTTTAATTCCTTGTTTGATGTAAAATATGTTATTCAGGATGAGACTTGCTTTTTAAGGTATAGTTTTCTGAGTGTTGTACCTATTGTGCTATGGGGCTGTACTATGGGGCAAGTAGTGGCCAAAGACATAAATTCATGAGTTTTTGTTATTTGCAATATTTGTAGTTTTCTATACAGTTATATTCTGATGCTTTTCTTTTCATGATAAAAAGCAATCAGAATATAAAATATGTTATGTATGTACTTGGAACTGCCATGTACATACCTGGGTATCATCATTGACTAAATATAAGATTTGTTTGAAAGTTATCTCAACACAAGTGGTAAGTGGAATTAAAAGTGCAATTTATTGAATTTTTAGATTTGTAAAGAATCTAATAACAGATTCATGATGTTTTCTTTTTAACAGATGGGCTTAGGTCACGAGCAAGGATTTGGAGCCCCTTGTTTAAAATGCAAAGAAAAATGTGAAGGATTCGAACTGCACTTCTGGAGGTATTGTTTTGAAAACTGCAACCACATTAGTAATTTATACTTTTTGCAATACTTCCTCAGACAGTGGAGATATCTTCGAGTTCTCCAGCATGGTTGCTAAGTTGCAGACCTGTTACTGTCTTTTCTGAGAAATGAATACAACATAAAAAGTGTTCTGTCTTACTGTCATTAAGTTTGACTTAGTGAATTGGACCATAATAACTATTTAGAGTTGTTGGATTTGCTTGCTGTCTTTAAGATTTCCTTCGAGCCTGAAATACTGAATATATCATCTTTCTGGTGGTAAATAAGTTTGTGGTAATCCTCCAGGACTGTTTAATAATTTATTTGTTACTTTTTTTTTGAGACGAAGTCTCATTCTGTCACCTAGACTGGAGTGCAGTGGTGTGATCTCAGCTCACTGCAACCTCCGCTTCCTGGTTCAAGCGATTCTCTTGCCTTAGCCTCCTGAATAGCTGAGATTACAGGCTTGTGCCACGACACCTGGCTAATTTTTCTTTTTTGTATTCTTAGTAGAGATGGGGTTTCGCCATGTTGGCAAGGCTGGTCTCAAACTCCTGACCTCAAGTGATCAGCCCACCTCAACCTCCCAAAGTGCTGGGATTACAGGCGTGAGCCACCATGCCTGGCCCTGTTTAATAATTTAATTATTCTCTTCTTAAAAATTGGTAACTTTACATCTCATGTCTACATTTTCCGTAAACAAATATGAATACTGAATCAAGCATGTATATGTTAGTTATCAGGAAATGAAGTTGAATTTAGATCTCTTTAAAATTTTTAGCTGTAAAGTTACTAGTGAAAAACCATTGAAACACTTGAATTTTTTTAAGAAAAAAATTAATTGTAGTGTCTTGGTTTGAATGAAGTGCATATATACACAAGACAATGTTAGTGAGTCAAAAATGTGAATTTTCTATAGATCTTATCTTTAGGTTGTTTTGAAAGTACTACTGCATATCATATAAATCTAAAATCAGTATTTGAAACCTGTGCTTATGAATGACTGTCAAGTCCATAGTGGTAATTCACAAGTCTGCTCAAAGTTAGAATTAGCAGGAAAAAAAAATAA
This sequence comes from Homo sapiens, assembly GCF_000001405.40. NCBI lineage: Eukaryota > Metazoa > Chordata > Mammalia > Primates > Hominidae > Homo > Homo sapiens. The sequence continues at coordinate 116,235,692 of NC_000007.14, forward strand.
AGATAACTATACAGTTTTAGGATGGCAGCTACCTTGTTAGGATGACTCTCATTTGAGAAACACTTCTGTACTACAGATTTCCACAGGAAACCGTTTAGAATACTTTCATCAGCTCTTGGAGATGTGTACAGTGTAAATTAAAGGAGAATATAAACAAATAAAATTTTAGACATTAATCTCTTTTAAAAACTAGTTTATTGAATCAGTTTTCAGAAACAAAGATAATTGTTTAAAATAGGAAAGTCAGTAGAAACCTGCTAGAACTGATACAGTTCTTCAGTTTTGATACAATTCTTCAGTTTTAGGGAGCTAAAGTTTTCCAGAATTTTTTTTTACAAGACTTAAGCAGCTCTCCCTTGTGCTGTCTCTTCAAGGGACATAGAAGTGGCAGTATGTCTCTCATGTTTTAAAAAGGTAAAGTGACTTAACACAAAATAGTTTTCATGAATTAGAACATCTCTGCTCTTAATGCTCACACTATTTTCTATTGGGCCTATTAGTTAACTTTACAGAAGGCTGCACTGCCCTCTCCTGGGCATAGTTTTTACCTTACAATCTTATAATACATAAAATCCAAAATCCAAAATGCTCCAAAACCAAAACTTCTTGAGTGTCAACACGATGCCACAAGTGGAAAATTTCACATACCTGACCGTGTGACAGGTTGCATTCAAAAATGCATTCAAACCTTTGTGTCTTGTACAAAATTATTTAAAATATGTATAAAATTACCATCAGCTTATGTACATAAGCTGTATATGAAACAGAAATTAATTTTATGTTTAAACTTGGGCCCTATCCCCAAGATATCTCATTGTTTATGCAGATATTCCAAAATTTAAAAAAAATTTGAAATCTGATACACTTCTGTTTTATTTTACTTGTGAAACATTTTGGGTAAGAGATACTTAACCTGCATTCTTTTTAGTTCTGCTATGCAGTTGCCAAAAACCGCTCGTGAGATTTTAAAGCTCATTCCTAAGAGATATCATCTTTTCTCTAAAGCAAGTTAGTCATTTTTGTTATGTCTATATTAATCATTTTAATCGATATTTTCAGATGAAAATATATCCGACAAGAGCAGATCTCCATGGCATGAAAATAACCTTTTACATTTCAATTTATCACACAGACTCATTTAATCAACTGGGTGTAGTCTGAAAATCTAAGAGCCATAATAGTCTAGGACTTTGCATATGGCCTGTCATTCAGCTGGGGTTGATAACAGTCCACCCCATTGGTATTTCTTAGTAGTTCTGACATCTTCCTGGCATGGGTCCAGTCACATTTCTCTCAGAATTCTTGATAATTCCCTGACTTTTTCACCATAGCTAAAAGAGCTGAAGCAGGTGCCTTTGACCTCCCTATGTAGCCTCTTTCAGTACAGTCTTTGAAGTAAAATATTCTAGACTAGTTGTCCTGAGTGTAACAAAGATTCCAGGTCTAGTCTAGGGCCACAGAACTTATGTGGGTGAAGTAGACATGGGATCCCATGACCCTGCCCACTTAGCCTCCTCCTCCAGCTTCATGGTGATCCTTGACTTAGGACCCTGAGGGCTCCATCGGGCACATTTCAAAAATCAGAGTTAAATTATTCTCTACCTCTTTATTAGTCTGGCCTCTCACACAATCACAAGAATGGTCTTTTGAACATGGATACTATTACATACTTCAGATGACTTAAGAACCCTCAGTAGTTTCCCACTGGACTTCTTTTAGGCAAATTTCTTGGCCTTTGACATTAAACCCTAACATCTGGCCTCTGCTTGCTTTTCCAGCCTCTTCCACTTCCCTTCCAAGCACTCTATGATCCAAGTGCTTGATACATACTATTCCCTGAAATTTTGTGCCTTATTGCATGGTGTTCTCTGCCTGGAAAACCCTACCTCCCACCACTAGGAAACAAAAAGTCTCAGCTCAAGAAATACCTCTGAGAAGTCTTCCCTGCCCATGTATGTCTTTTCAGGCTGCCATAACAAAATATCACATACCTGGTAGTTTAAACAGAAATGTACTTTCTTCCAGTTCTAGAGGCTGGAAAGTTCGAGATCAGGTGCCAACATGGTTGAGTTCTGGTGAGGTCTCTCTTCCTGGCTTACAGACGGCTGCCTTCTCACCACGTGCTCACATGGCCTTTCCTTGGTGTGTGTGGGTGTGTGTGTGTGTGTCTGGAGAGGAAGAGATCTCTCTCCCTTTTCTTATAAGGTCACCTATTCCAATGGATTGTGACGTTCACCTTGTGACATCTTTTAACTTTACTTCTTAAAAGCCCCTGCTCCAAATACAGTCACATTAGGAGTTTGAGCTTCAGCATATGACTTTGAGGAAACACAGTTCAGCCCACAGCACCCCCTTCCCCTGCTTCCACATACCCCCAAGTTGTTAGGAATCATTTTCCTTTTTATCACCTTGTATACTTACAGAAAGCCAGGAGATAAATACCCAGACCTCATTCTTCATCACTCTGATTTTCTGCTGGCACCTCCCATTGTCCCATTGCCAGTGACAAGGGATCCCACAGGTGTAGTCCTTAAGGATCAGCCTTCTGGGAAATAGCACAGAGTACTGAGGCATGGAGAATGAATCTGGAGAGGTGAATGGAAGATGCCGGATCAAGGTGTATCACCATAGTTGCAGGAGACTAAAAATTAATTATTAGGAATTTAGAGTGAACTTGTAACTTAACTAGTCTAACCTCATTTTACAGATCAAAGACCTAAACCAAAGGAAGTTAAAATGACTTGTTTGAGCCCATGAGTTATTAATAATATAATTTGTGAATGATTTCTATGTGTCACACACCAGTAAGCACTTGTAATAATTTTCTACTGCTGCATAACAAATTACTACAAACTTTGCAAGTTAAAGCAACAACTGTTAACTCAACATCCATCATTATTATTATTATTATTATTATTATTATTTTTGAGATGGGGTTTCACCCTTGTTGCCCAGGCTGGAGTGCAATGGTGCGATCTCGGCTCACTGCAACCTCTGCCTCCTAGGTTCAAGTGATTCTCCTGCCTGCCTCCCGAGTATCTGGGATTACAGGCGCCCGCCACCACGCCCAGCTAATTTTTTCTATTTTTAGTAGAGACGGGGTTTCACCATGTTGGCCAGGCTGGTCTCAAACCCCTGACCTCAGCAGATCCACCAGCCTCAGCCTCCCAAAGTGCTGGGATTACAGACATGAGCCACTGTGCCCAGCCAACATCCATTATTTTTCAGGTTAGAAGTCTGGGATAGGGGAGCTGGCTTAGCTGTCTATGCTTAGCACCTCAAAAAGCTGAAATGAAGGTGTTGGCCAGGCTAAAAGTACTCACCTTTAAGTGCGAGGGAAGAATCTGCTTTCAAGCTCATTCTTGTTGGTAGAATCTATTTTCTGTGGTTGGAGAACCAAGGTCCCTGTTTCCTTGTTGGCTGTCAGCTGGGGGCTGGCTACTCTCAGCTTCTAGAAACCAGTCACATTCATTGAGGTACAATGCCTTCCATCTTCAAAGCCAGCACCACTGCTTAGAATCCTTCCTGCACCTCACATGCCTCCAACTTCCTCTTCTGCTGCGAGCCAGAGAAAATTCATTGCTTTTTAAGGGCTCACATGATTAGAGTAGGCACGCCTGGAAAATCTCCCATTTGCCATATAAAAGTAACATAATCATGAAAGTAACACCAGGGGACAGAAGTCATAGGGGCCATGTTAACATTCTGCTTACCACAGCACTGTATGTACCTGATTGTACCTAATCCTCCTAATATTTATTTTATTATGTATGAGAAATCAAAGACGTAGGAAAGTTAAATAACTTACTAAAGTTATGGCTTATAGATGGCAGAGCTGAATTTGAACTCAGAGTTTTCCAAAACCTTTCTCCATGGCAGAGTAGATATTAGAATGCACATTTTTCACTCTCAGGGCCAGTGAACTTTGAACTGCACCAGGCTGTCGCCTCTGAAGTGTGATTGTTGTGACACAGACATCCTTGTGGACAAAGGTGTACTTTTACTGTGAGCTCTCTCCTTTTTCAGTGTGCCCATGATTACAACAGTAGAGGAAAATAAAAGGTTCAGGAAGCCTAATAATGACCCAATAAGAAACACTATCTGCTGGGAATGCTTTCAAGTAATATATAGAGATAAAGAGTGTTTATTGAAATGTATGACACAGACCCAAGGTTTCCAGGAGTTTATAGCCAGTTATTTCACATTGAAGGTATAATTAATATAATTGCAACCATGTCATTTATCATATTAAGTAACAGAATTATTGTTTTGCTTTACCTTTGTTAAAGTCTCCTAATAAAACAGTTGCATTTTATTAAAAATGCGTTACTTGATTATAACATACATCTGTTCAGAATTTCTGATTGATTTAGAGCTGGGTGAAAACTAAAAATTCCCTACCATAAATGGATTAATACTTGTGTTGAATTCTGTCACAGAGGCCCACACTTAAATCCATATATGTATATCCCTGTTACAAAAGGGCAGCTTCCAACCCTTTTAAATTATGGTTTGTAGCAATGCCATGGCCGTGCTTTTAAATCACTGTGAATGCTGGCAGCATGTCAAAGCACTCTAGTTTCTACTGCTTGCCTTGGAAAAATAGTAAGTTTTACAAATAGTGATACAAAAAAATTTCTTTTGGGAGAATAAAGGATAGTTTCTTGATTTTTTTCAGCTTGAAAATGTAAATATGTTTATTTGTCTGAGGCAATACTTTTGGTAGTTTTGTTCTTGCATTCGCTCTCCCAGGCTCGCTCTTTCTCTCTCTCTCACTCCTTCCCTCCCCCTCGCTCCTCCCTTTCCTCCATACATATTAATGTTTGCATATATATGTGTTAATGGTGCTAAATTCTTTTTGTACAAACAACTTTTTATACAAATAACCCTCCTCCATCCCCACACCTTAGAGCTTCCCAATCTGCCAATCCACCTTTGCACCTTTTTAAAAGAATCATGAAAAAGACTTTTAAACTAACTTAATTCTGAATCCCCTTCCCTTTTTTTCCCCATAGAACTTTTCTTAACATCCTATGGAGAATCTGGAGAGAGAACTGCTCAATAGGACAGTTTAGAAAATTTAGAGGTTTGAAAACTGTGTTAAATATGGGAACTGATTTATATACTCTCTTAAAACTATCAACTCAGTATAGCACAAATAAATAAACAAGCTGTTTAAATCTATATATATCATCAGAAGTTACTTATGGATCATCTGATGAAAGATAATCCACACACCGTGCAAACAGCCCCTTGCACATGGGTATTGTGCTCACCCATACTCTGTTTGTGTTTTTGTTTTAGGTTTGTATAAAACCACGTTTTTAAAGTTCTTCATTTTCTTAAGGGTAGAATCTGGGTTAGTTTAGGCTGAAATTGAATATGTGATAAACGTCCCACTTATTCTCAGGCCGCTCTTGGATAACAAGATCACAGTGGCATCCTTTTCTTCTCCAATTCCACAACAAGGTTTTTCTTTTAATAAATGTATTGGATTGCTTCCAAATGACTTTGAAAGTTTTTATAGGTATTTCTAAAAGTAAAATGTTTTAGTTTAAATGTGGGAGACTCAAATATAAAACACTGTAGATTAGAACTCTAAGAAAAATATTTTTAAAACCTAAAACTAGGTAAGTGGTAATAGCACAGATTTCCACAATAGATAGCTCCTGGCACCTGGTGCTGATTTTATAGTATGTTTTCTTGCAGAGTAGTTTGTAGCTGGCTCTTCTCCTTGTAGAAATGGAGCTCCAGTGTAAGGCTTCTGGAAGGGATGTGGTCATCCCAACTGTTTTAATGATGACAGCTCTAGTTGAAGAGCCATCCCACCCTTCTTGGGTCACATTCTTACCAAGGACTCTGTCACCACAATTCACCACATTGGAGGATGCAGATGAGGCTTTTAATATAGTCATGATTTTTAAAATTATAACAAATCAATCATAGGTTTTCTCTACTTAGGAAACTGAAAATTATATGGCATAGTATGACTTCTTAGGTATTTCTTTTTTCTTACCACTAGCGTTATTGGTATGTTGTTTTAACCTGATTTTACTCACTTATTAACAAAGGTATGTTGGGTGGTTAAAGGCATTGATAGAAAAGCAGAGGCTTCCTGAGATTGTGAATTCTTCTAATTGTCAAGACAAATAATAATTTAAAAAAATACAGAGCTGGTTCTTCTATAATTAGTAAATTTAACTCTTTATATTTAACACTTTCACAGTAAATATAACTTTTTTAACCAAGCCACAGCTCACCATAGTTTATTCATGCTTCAGAAATCATCAGGCTTTATTTCACTTGTATCTTTTATTATTTATCTTTCAGATTCTAAAATCTGACCCTTATTTTGTGGTATTCATGTTGTACTGGTGTAGAACATAGATTGTAAAAATTTCCAAAGTCCAGTGTTTATTATACGGCCTCGATCCTTTAAGATACCACTTTGCTAATTATTGGGATGCATGCTGTAGCTCACAGCCATATAAGGATCTATTTAGCTATATTAAGAACTAAATTCCCACTCCACCTTCTTCCCCCCTCAGGAAGGTATAATTTTAAACTTGAACCAAAAGCAGTGTGATAGTTTTATAAATAATTACATTGTTTTTGTTAACCAAAGAGTAAAAGTAAAGAACATGCTGTAGTAGGATAACTTGCTGCTTTCCACTAGATGGGAGTATGAGATAACCAGATGTTAGAAAGATTATTTTATAGCTGAACTAGCATATGCAAATTCTTCAACAAATTCTTACCAAATAAAGATTTCTGACTAGTGTGCACAAGGAAAGCAATTTGCCTCTTCACCACCTATCTCTCTCTCTCTCTCTCTCTCTCTCTCTCTGTCTCTGTCTCGGAATATACAAGTCAAATCTAATATTTTCAGTTTGCATACTGAAAAGTATTTTAAGAAAATTCAGAATACAACAAACTAAAATCTATAATTAATAATGTATTATTTGGCAATGAGATACATTTGGGTTTTTAGTTGTTTTTTCTGTTTCTGATGTAGATAAATTCCATGATTTATATTAATTTTAAATTTAGAAAACTTAGTAAATTCTTCTTAATGCTAATTAATACATTGCATTTCTCTGTGGTCATAGCATCTGTGAATAGCAACAGTTTAGTTTTTTTCTTTCTGATGAATTCTTGTAACTTTTCACACTGCTCTGATTAGTACCTTCAGAACCATATGATTAGAATTGGTGATAGCAAGGTTGCTTTCTTGCTTCACATCTTAAAACTAATGCAGTAAGTATGATCTATGCTGAGTGTCTGGGTTTGTTCCCCCCATGCCTCATCCTCTAGGAACTCTTTCTAGAATAGTTTCTATTTCCTTTTACTAGTTTCTGCTATTCTCTTTATTTTCCTTCCTTTTACTTCAGGCTTATTATGCCTTTTTCCTAACTTCCTGAGTTGAACACTTAGTACTTTATTTTTTCCTTTTTTCTAATTTGAGTGTTTTAAACTATAAATTATTTAGTTATCTAGTTACTTCAACATGCATTCTTAGCCTAATTGTATCTAATGTTAATCCATGTTTATATAGACTGAACAATGTAAGTATCTTTAGAATGTGTTTTACAACACTCAGATCGCCACTCTTATTGTTATGTTGTCGTTGCCATGTATATTGCTTCCAGCTTAAATTTTTAACACCACTCCCTACTCCTCTGTTTTTCTCTGTCACCTTTTCCAGCTTCTTTTCCTCTACTAGACTCTTTCTTGAGTCCTTACTTTTTCCCTCTACATTTTTGCCAACAGGCACAGATGATCTCTTTAACTCATATTCATTATATATTGTTCCCTGACCACCAAATTTATATTTCCTACCAGGCTACAGTTTTTAACATGAGAGTTATAGATCCTACACTCTGTGATATCTTTACCTTGTCTCACAGGCATATCAAATTTATCAGTGGTTTCATTTTGGAGACTTCCATCAACCTTCCCCACTCCATACTGCAAAACTGTTCATCTTTTGAATATACTATCTTAATAAATTATATTCATTCTACTAATTTACTCATCCCAGAAACTTGGTTTTATTTTTCAAGAGACTGAGTGTATTAGTCTGCTCTCAGTTAGTCAAGACATACCCAAGACTGGGTAATTTATAAAGGAAAGAGCTTTAATTGACTCACAGTTCAGCATGGCTGGGAAGTCCTCAGGAAACTTACAATTGTGGCAAAAGAGGAAGCAAACACATCCTTCTTCACATGGTGGCAGCAAGAAGTGCCTAGCAAAAGGGAGAAAAGCCCCTTATAAAACCATTAGCTCTCATGAGAACTCACTCACCATCACGAGAACAGCATGAGGGTAACAGGCCCCATGATTCAGTTACCTCCCACCATGTCCCTCCCACAACACGTGGGGATTATGGGAAATACAATTCAAGATGAGATTTGGGTGGGGACACAGCCAAACCATATCATTCTGCCCCAGCCCCTCCCAAATCTCATGTCCTCACATTTCAAAACACAATTATGCCCTTCCAACAGTCCCCCAAAGTCTTAACTCACTCCAGCATTAACTCAAAAGTCCAAGTCCAAAGTCTCATCTGAGACCAGGCAAGTCCCTTCTGCCTGTGAGCCAGTAAAATTAAAAGCAAGTTAGTTACTTCCTAGATACAATGAGGGTACAGGCATTGGGTAAATACAGCCATTCCAAATGGGAGAAATTGGCCAAAAGAAAGGGGCTACAGGCCCTATGGGAGATCAAAATCCAATAGGGCAGTCATTAAACGTTAAAATTCCAAAATGTCCTTTGACTTCATGTCTCACATCCAGGGTGTGCTAATGCAAAAAAGGTGGGTTCCCATGGCCTTGGGCAACTCCGCCCCTGTGGCTTTGCAAGGTACAGTCCCACTCCCAGCTGCTTTCATTGGCTGGCATTGAGTGCCTGCAGCTGTCCTTGGATCTCCCATTCTGGGGTCTGGAGGATGGTGGCCCTCTTCTCACAGCTCCACTAGGCAGTGCCCTTGTGGGGACTCTGTGTGGGGGCTCCAACCCCACATTTCCCTTCCACACTACCCTAGCAGTGGTTCTCCATGAGGGCTCTGCCCCTGCAATAAACTTCTGCTTGGACATTCAGGCATTTTCATACATCCTCTGAAATCTAGGCAGAGGTTCCCAAACATCAGTTGTTGTCTTCTGCATACCTGCAGGACCAACACCGTATGGAAGCTGCCAAGGCTTGGGGCTTGCACCCTCTGAAGCAATGGGCCAAGCTATACCTTGGCCCCTTTTAGCCACCACTGGAGCTGAAGAAGCTGGGATGCAGGGCAGCATGTCCCAAGGCTGCACAGAGCAAGGGATCCCTGGGCGTGGTCCACGACAGCATTTTTCCCTCCTAGGCCTCCAGGCCTGTGATGGGAGGGGCTGCTGTGAAGCTCTCTGACATGCCCTGGAGACATTTTCTCCATTGTCTTGGTGATTAACATCCGGGCACCTTGTTACTTATGCAAATTTCTGCAGCGGGCTTGAATCCCTCCCCAGAAAATAACTTTTTCTTTTGTATCGCATTGTCAGGCTGCAAATTTTTCAAACTTTTATCCTCCGTCACCTCTTGAATGCTTTGCTGCTTAAAAATTTCTTCCACCAGACAACCTAAATCATCTCTCTCAAGTTCAAAGTTTTGCCCCTGCCTACAGATTCTAGGGCAGGGGCAAAATGCCACCAGTCTCTTTGAATAGCCAGAGTGGCCTTTACATCAGCTCCCAACAAGTTCCTCATCTCTATCTGAGACCACCTCAGCCTGGACTTCATTGTCCATATCACTATCAGCATTTTGGTAAAACTCATTCAACAAGTCTCTAGGAAGTTCGAAACTTTCCCACATCTTCCTGTCTTCTGAGCCCTCCAAGTCTCTAGGAATTTCCAAACTTTCTCACATCAACCTGTCTTCTTAGCCCTCCAGACTGTTCTAACCTCTAGCTATTACCCAGTTCCAAAATCACTTCCACATTTTCAGGTATCCTTATGGCAGCACCACACCCTTTAAAGTACCAGTTTACTGTATTTATTAGTCTATTCTCATGGTGCTAATAAAGACATACCTGAGACTGAGTAATTTATTTATAAAGGAAAGAGATTTAATTGACTTACAGTTCAGCATGGCTGAGGAGGCCTCAGGAAACTTACAAACATGGTGGAACGCAAAGCAAACATGTTCTTTACATTGTGGCAGCAAGGAGAAGTGCCGAGCAAAAGGGGAAAAAGTCCCTTATAAAACCATCAGCTCTCAAGAGAACTCAATCACTATCATGAGAATAGCATGAGGGTAACAGCCCTCATGATTCAATTACCTCCTACCACATCTCTCCCACAACACATGGGGATTATGGGAACTACGATTCAAGATGAAATTTGGGTGGGGTCACAGCCAAACCATATCACTGAGCCTTCCCTTTGCCATCACTATGTCCAAATAAACCACTAAGTTTAGTCAGTTTTTTGTTCAAGGAGACCTCAAATTTCTTCCTTTCTTTTCATCTCCACTGTTGAATACTCTAATCCAAGCCATAGCATATTTTACCTGGACCACAACAATAACCCTCCAAGATGTAAATTCCATTTGTGAAGTAGTGGCAGCATCCTGTTATTTAGAACCATGCCATTGCAAACTGGATGCATAATTAACATGTTAGCTTGTCTCCCTATTGCCAGTTATGTTTCACCCCTAATCCATTTACCACATGGCAGATATTGTGATATTTAAAATTACAGATCTGATCATTTTATTCCATTACCAAAAAGCCTTTGCTGCTTCCTGATTGCTCTTATGATGAAGCCCAAATTCCTTAATGTGTTCTATGAGCCCCTGCATGACTTCATGCCTACCTCTCCAGTCTTATCACCCTCCTATTGACTCATCTTCCTACAGTCATACCAACCTCCCCTGGTTATGACACCTAAGGGGACAATTTCTTTCCTAATTCAGGACCACTGAAGGTATTCCTCTTTATACCCAATACTAGAGACTTTTCTTTCCTTTTCTCCTCCCCAGATACACACCCACATACACAGTTTACACCTATGTTTCATACATCGTCCAGATCTCAACCTAAATATCATCTTCTTATGGGGTCCCTTCTTCACGAGTTTGAAGTCCAAATTACACCCTCTCAAGGGACCCTATACTTTCTTTCCTATCACAAATGAAATTTTCTCTGTGTATGTGTGTGTGTGTGATTATTTAATGTCTATCTCCCACCAGAGAGTAAGTTCTAGAAATCAGAGACTAGGCCCCTTTTTTTTTTTTTTTTTTTTAAGCACTATGTCCTAGTGTCAAGTACATTGCTTGGCACATGGGCACTCGTGTATGTTGCATGAATGAATGAATGTCTGTGTGCCAGACCAGAGTGAAGAAGAGAACATTGTCCTTGAACTATAAGAAACACCATGATGGCAGAGAGCACATGGTAGGTGGCAATAAGTGTTTGAAGAAATAAAATAAGGGAAGGAAAGAGAAAGGAAAAACAAAGGGAAGGAAATGGAGGGCAAAAGAAATTGAGAAAAAAATGAGAAAGGCTGTAAACCTAAATCTAGGATTATAATCTTTGATGGGAAAAGTTTCCCTGTCTCTCACTAAAAAAACAAACAAACAAGAAACCTTGGATAATAGCTATAAAATGTTAACATGCAATAAAGTACAAAGCCTCTTGCTTAAATAAGGAAACATATAATTTTTGTGGTTTTATTTAATTCATTTCTTTTTATTATTTATTTTATTCACTATTGGGTGACAGCATAAGGAATATCAGATGGGGTTACACTCAGACATGTCCCTTTAAGTGTGCACTTTTTAATCAGTCTTTTTTTTTAATGGTACAATTGAAGATGTCTATTATTGGGGCCATCACCACTTCTTTCAGTGAATTCATTGAAAAAATCTTGGTTGGTTTTGATAAAAATCAAATGAATAATTGCTTCTCGTTATCATATCAGAAATGCAGATGCACGTTTGGTTGACAAAACACACTGAATTTGTTAAAATACTTACTTAGAAAATTCAGTTGAAACGTTATGGTACCATCTAAATCACAAAACTTAATTCAGTAATTTCCAAAAATACATTATTAGTGACTGATAATTCTGCTGCTTTCCTCTTTTTTTCACCTTCCATTTTAGGTTCAGAATGTACCTGTGCAGTGCAGGTGTTTTACATGGGTAAATTGCATGTTACTGAGGCTTGGGTTATAAATGATCCCATCACCCAGGTAGTGACCATAGTACCTGAGAGTTAGCTTTTCAAACGTTTCTCCCTCTCACCCTCCCCACTCTAATATTCCCTAGTGTCTGTTAGTTCCATCTTTGTGTCCATGTGTACTCAATATTTAGCTCCCACTTATAAGTGAGAATATGTGGTATTTGGTTTTCCTTTCCTGTATTAATTCACTTAAGATAATGACTTCCAGCTGCATTCATTTTGCTTCAAAGGACATGATTTCATTCTTTTTTTATGGCTGCATAGTATTCTATGGTGAATATGTTCCACATTTTCTTTATCCAGTCTACCATTGATGGGCGTCTAGGTTGATTCCACCATGTCTTTTCTATTGTGAATACTACTGTGATAAACATACGGGTGCATTGTCCTTTTGGTGGAACAATGCATTTTCCTTTGGGATTGCTGGGTTGAATGATAGTTCTAAGTTCTTTGAGAAATCTCCAAACTGCTTTCCACAGTGGCTGAACTAATTTACATTCTCACCAACAGTGTATAAGCATTCCCTTTTCTCCGCAACATCTGTTATTTTTTGACTTTTTAGTAATAGCTATTCCGACTGATGGAAGATGGCATCTCATCATCGTTTTGATTTGCATTCCTTAATGATTAGTGATATTGAGCATGTTTTCATATATTTTTTGGCCATATGTATATCTTCTTTTGAGAAATATCTGTTCATGTCCTTTGCCCATTTTTTAATGGGGTTGTCTTTTGCTTGTTGAATTGTTCCTTATAGATTCTGAATATTAGACCTTTGTCAGTTGCAGGATTTGCAAATATTTTCTTCCATTCTATAGGTTGTCTGTTTGTCCTGTTGCCAGTTTCTTTTGCTTTGTAGAAGCTCTTCAGTTTAATTGGGTCCCTCTTTCAATTTTTACAACCTAGCTTTTAAAAGCCTTATCAAGCAAAGTCGTGTTTTGTTTCCTTCTTGCTTAAATATATGGATACTTATTCTCCCTCCTAAAAAAGGACTTGCCTTTGCATACCATGATATAGAATAGGCCTAAAAGTATTTTATGAACTATAAATGTATGAACATAAATATCAATTAGGTACAATTAATCATTTTCTACTTATTTTCAAAATTATAGAAAAATATGTCGTAACTGCAAGTGTGGCCAAGAAGAGCATGATGTCCTCTTGAGCAATGAAGAGGATCGAAAAGTGGGAAAACTTTTTGAAGACACCAAGTATACCACTCTGATTGCAAAACTAAAGTCAGATGGAATTCCCATGTATAAACGCAATGTTATGATATTGACGAATCCAGTTGCTGCCAAGAAGAATGTCTCCATCAATACAGTTACCTATGAGTGGGCTCCTCCTGTCCAGAATCAAGCATTGGTAAATGATATGGAACAGAGAGTTTCTTTATTGAAGTTCCTGGAGTATTTATTTGGGGCAGTTTCTTTGATGACCTAATCAACTTCACACATCCCAGATCTGTTATTCTTCCGGGGTTCTCATTACTTTGACTTCTGATTCCTGTTCTAGTCTTTTGAATGTAAGACTAGATACTTCATAAAATTTTTCCAACTCCCTAGATATGTTTACCTTTTTGAGGGAATGGTCTAACGTTCTTAATAATTAGATGGAAATCAGATGTTTTATATCAATCTAGTAACTCTTCTAGCTTAGTCTTGAGAGGATTTATCTTAAGATGGTAAAGAAGAGAATTTTTGTCATAGTTTAGAACTGAAAAAAATATTCAACATTATCTTTGTGTTTTTTTCATTTCCTTTATTAATACTATATAAGACCAAAAAGATCACAGTTTTATATCAAGCTCCTTCCACTATTATAACAACCAAATGAAACATTTGGAAGTCTTTTAAGGTTAGTTAAATCATTAAAGTGAATTTTGCGATATCATTTTTTATGTAATAAAAATGTTCCTGGTCCTACAGACCATTCCAAACATGTCTGCCTAAAAGTTTATGTTTTCTTTCAATTGTACATTTGTTTATTTAGCTTAAGTAAACAGTAGTAACTCAGATCTTACAAACTGAAAAAATATATAATTTCATGGAGAGAAAGTGTTACTTTTTACCCAACTAAATCTATTTAGTGTACCGTTTTTGAGTTTTAACTTCTTAATATACTGTGAGGGTGAGTTGCTGCTATTGGATAGAACCCACTTCTTTCTTAAGTAACTTGCTTCTGATGTGTGTTATGAAACATCACACTGCCTAATGGCCAATCCCAGTTAACATTGGCCTCCTTGTGGTTCAGGCCAGGCAGTACATGCAGATGCTACCCAAGGAAAAGCAGCCAGTAGCAGGCTCAGAGGGGGCACAGTACCGGAAGAAGCAGCTGGCAAAGCAGCTCCCTGCACATGACCAGGACCCTTCAAAGTGCCATGAGTTGTCTCCCAGAGAGGTGAAGGAGATGGAGCAGTTTGTGAAGAAATATAAGAGCGAAGCTCTGGGAGTAGGAGATGTCAAACTTCCCTGTGAGATGGATGCCCAAGGCCCCAAACAAATGAACATTCCTGGAGGGGATAGAAGCACCCCAGCAGCAGTGGGGGCCATGGAGGACAAATCTGCTGAGCACAAAAGAACTCAATATGTAAGTAGAGTGGTCACACTGTTAGCCTGATTTGTATACTTTACAGAATTTTTTTCCCTTACTTTGAACTTTTTTGGGGACTATTCCTCTGAGTTTCCAAAAGGGAATAAGTATGGGGAATAAATAGGATTTAGATTCAGTTTAGACTTCCCACAGAGGGTCATCGTGTTTGAAACTTCTGTCTAAAGCCAAATTTTCTATGTATTTATTATCAAGGATAATTGTGGATAGTGAGTTTTATGTACAGACAGTAGTTGGTATTGGCATGCTGATCAAAGACAGCATTATTATTCTATAGTCTGTTTCTAATCATAATGTTGGTATTAATTGCTTATCTCTGCTGCCCATAAATAGGAATATATGCTTAGGTTAATTCAGTTTTGCTTGTGAGAACGTGCCTAAAATTCAAACTTAAATTTAATTTTTGTGGATATATAGTGAAGCTTTTTTTTAAGTCTCTTCTAAAGGGAGAAATTGAAGTATTTTGCTAATGACTTGATGGTAGGAGGCAATTATGACACAGATGAACAGACATAAGAACTAAACCTGCTGTAATATATTCCTCATAGCTCCAGTTAGCACACCAACCAATAAGGCTTAGTCCTGAAAAAAGAGCACTAATAAGCCCTGAGGTGATAGTTTTAGAGAATCTACTTAAAATTGACCTGAAAATTACTATTTTCCTTTTTCCATAAGTGACCTTAATTCAGGAAATAATGCCTGTTACACACAGGGTGAATGAAGTAGATTTGAATAGCCGGGAGAAAGCTGAGATTCCATTTCACAGAATTATTAATACGTTATTATCTACATCGACAAATTTGTAATTTCAGTAGAAATTATGTCTCTTCAAAGTTGTTTCTCTGAATTTCTACTGAAGTCAATGATAAGAAATGGCAGTCTTAGCTGGGCACAGTGGCTCACGCCTGTAATCCCAGCACTTTGGGAGGCTGAGGCGGGTGAATCACGAGGTCAGGAGATTGAGACCATCCTGGCTAACACGGTGAAACCCCGTCTCTACTAAAAATACAAAAAAATTAGCCGGGCGTGGTGGCAGGCGCCTGTAGTCCCAGCTACTCGGGAGGCTGAGGCAGGAGAACGGCGTGAACCCAGGAGGCGGAGCTTGCAATGAGCCGAGATAGCACCACTGGACTCCAGCCTGGGCGACAGAGTGAGACTCAGTCTCAAAAAAAAAAAAAGAAAGAAAGAAAAGAAATGGCAGTCTTCTAATGACTAGGTTGTTCTGGATGGCTTCCCTTTCAGTCCTGCTATTGCTGCAAACTGAGTATGAAAGAAGGTGACCCAGCCATCTATGCCGAAAGGGCTGGCTATGATAAACTGTGGCACCCAGCTTGTTTTGTCTGCAGCACCTGCCATGAACTCCTGGTTGACATGATTTATTTTTGGAAGAATGAGAAGCTATACTGTGGCAGACATTACTGTGACAGCGAGAAACCCCGATGTGCTGGCTGTGACGAGGTATGTTCTATGGGACCACCGGCATGCTGGTGCCCTCTTAGACCCTCATATGGTCCCTTTACCTAGAAGGCAACAAGACTTGACCAAACAGCAGTTGCTCTGTTTACATCCAAAGAAGTTTTAAAAAATAAACTTCTGATATCATTCATTCTGTCTGTGTTAATTGGGTTGACAAATGAAAGACTAGAAATATAAAAGATTGATTTAGACTAAACTAAGTGATAGCATAAGTTCAAGCTTTAGGTTATCATTTTCAAACTTTAGACCCTGAGAAAGTATGTTGTTACAGATATAAATCTCTTATTATATAAAAATCCATCTTTATTTTTATCTTCTTCCTAGCTGATATTCAGCAATGAGTATACCCAGGCAGAAAACCAGAATTGGCACCTGAAACACTTCTGCTGCTTTGACTGTGATAGCATTCTAGCTGGGGAGATATACGTGATGGTCAATGACAAGCCCGTGTGCAAGCCCTGCTATGTGAAGAATCACGCTGTGGTGAGAAGTGTTCTAAGGATATGGTTGCCTCAGCCTGCTTTAGGACTTGAGTTTATGCTTTTCTTAAAGCCTCTTACAAATGGGAAACAGAAAGCAGTCCTCCTAAGTAGAAAGCAAATTATTCCTACCACAGGGTGTTAAAATCAAGGCAATTCAAAAACAATACATGCATTGACTATGAGCCACCTCAAGATTTCTACTTGTGAAATTTACAATATCAATTATAGGTACTGCTTAATAATAAAATCCTCACTTAAAAAAATTCTTAATGGGAATGAGATTGTTTTATTTTCATGGTTAGCAATCAGATTCCATTTCAATAAAGGTGTCTAGGGGCTATTGATATTCTTTAGCTCTATTTGAATATGATGCTTTCTGTTTGTGTTATTGGACCACCCACTGGAATTTTGTTTTTGCTACCTGGAGATTGTAAGATACCTATTTCTTAAACCCTCATTGAATTGATTTAGCATAACAAAACTTGGCCTGCGTATTTAGATTTTTGTGTGGGCCAAACATTCCAATGTGAAAGTATATTTTTTCTTGCATTTACTCTGCTTACACAGAGCTGCTGTTGTATAATGGCCAAGTGATGGTAATGTAGATAAAGGGTAAAAAGTTGACCATAGATGGTAAAGTGTATAATCCAGGAGTATCCAAATAGACATTTACTTCTTTATATGCAGCAAAACACATATGTGTTAATGGTCCCCTGAGCTATCAAGTAAAAGGGACTCCTGGCTAAGGAATGAAATTACATATGGTTTATATAGTTATATATAGTTATAAGAGTGTGGTACTGTGAAGATAAGGTAACAAGTTTTTATGTCAATGCCAATTTTCAGCGTTCACCCATTGCCCCAGATACAGTTATTCATTCTCTATCAACTGTGCCTCACCAATATATTTCACATTCTTATAATTACAACCATTCTACTTTAGACCTTTTTTTTTGTTGTTATTTTGACTATTGCAGTGGCCTCAAATTTCGTTCCTCCACTTTCATTCATCTTGCTCAAAAGCTACCCACCATAATGATGGAAAATTATCTTCCTAAAATGCAAATTATTAAACTTTTGATAGATCTGGCCCCTTCTTGCCTCTCCTGTCCCTTCTACTAGTTATCCAACGCAAATCATACATTTCCACACGTTCACCATCATTTTCTAGTTTACACACTGTTGTCTTTTGCTTACTCCTAATAGTTTTTCTAATACACCGTACTTTTCCCTGTTTTACCTGACTGTACCTACACATTTATTCCTTTAGATTCAGTTTAGGTTTAACTTTTTTTCGGAACACCTTTCCTGATTCACTATGCCCAAACTCCACCATTTCCTCCAGACTCTCCATGTTCCCAATGGTGTGTGTGTGGGTGGGTGTGTGGGGGTGTGTGTGTGTGTGAATATCATTCATCTGTCTCCTTCACTAGACTGTAAGCAGCTGGAGGGTAGAGCTTGCCTTATATCTTGCTTTCTATATCTTCAGTGTCAGCACTTAGAAAATGTTTGAGTGACTGACTCGTGTTCTTAATATTTCTCGCTTTGGGGTTACCATGGTCATTCCTTTACCTAGGGAACAAGACGTCAAATCACCATGTAACCTGATACATTATTTAGCTAAAAACTGCTTCAATGAATATTGTTGCAACAGTTTTTCTACAGACTAAAGGTATTATAATGTATACCTTTTTTTTTGCTGCTGTCTGACCTTTAGTCTCAAGGACTAGAATGTAACTCCATCAGGGCAGGGATTTTTTTATCTGCCTTTTCTATTCTGTTCCCAACACTAGGACAACATAGGTGCTCAATAAAAATTTATTGAAACAGATGAAACTGCTTTTTTTTCTTTTTTTAGCTGTTACAAGCTTCTCTGTATTACATTGTTTCTAATCAATGGCAGGGTATAACCACAGATATGATTTGTTTAAATAAAAGAATTTTCAAATTATTTAGTTTTATAGCATAGCATCATTTTGGCCAGGCATGGTGGCTCACGCCTGTAATCCCAGCACTTTGGGAGGCCAAGGTGGGCGAATCATGAGGTCAGGAGTTCGAGACCAGCCTGGCCAACATGGTGAAACCCCGTCTCTATTAAAAATACAAAAAAATTAGCTGGGCGTGGTGGCAGGTGCCTGTAATTCCAGCTACTTGGGAGGCTGAGGCAGGAGAATTGCTTGAACCTGGGAGGTGGAGGTTGCAATGAGCCGAGATCCTGCCACTGCACCCCAAGCCCAGGTGATTGATAGTGCGACACTCCGTCTCAAAAAAAATATATATATATGTGTGTGTGTGTGTGTGTGTGTGTGTGTGTGTGTGTGTAGCATCATTTCTTTTATGTTTACTTTCTCAGTGGGATATACCATTGGCCTTTGCCTAATATTAAAATGAGCATACATATCCATTGCCAGAACAGATTCCAGCTAACAGCAAAGAGAGCTACCCACACAGCATGCTACATTATATAAAATTTGGAGAAGGTTATCTAGTTCAGGGCATTGATCTGCTTAGATCTTTTCATCTTAAAGAGAGAAAATACAAATTATTTTTAGACCTGAAATCAAGTGCTCAACTCCAAACAACATTTCTGAGAAAAAAAAAAAAAAGTACCTGGAAGGAAAAAACATGGCAGATGCACCTACTTTGTCTCTGTGTAGTCACTAGAACTCCATAGTTACCCCCAGAATTCACATCCGTCAGATTCATAGGACACTCCTGCAGAGAGCTCATTACAACAGGTGTCATTAGCTCTTTTACATCCTGTGTACAAATAAGAAGAGGGATTGAAGGAAATAAGAATTCTTTGAAATATTAAAGGTTTAGGAACATGGGAAGATCAAATGGCAGGCAGGAAGTGGTGAAGCACATCATCTCCCTGAAGGGTTCTGCAGTCCCCAGGCCCTTGGCGCAGCCTGGGCCAATTTTAGATTTTTGAGGAATTAGGGAACAGTAGATTCGACCTGTGATTACATGTCAGATTTTGAATGAATGGTAATCAAATTATTAGTAAAATGAAATTTTATGAAACCCCAGACTTTAATTCTCTATACCATTTATGTGTACTAATTATCTTTTTGCTTAATTTTCTTAATTTCATGTGTAATTGAACATTAGTTATCTCTTTTTTGTAAATTGCAACTGAAAATGTGTGTTTTGGGTAATTTTAAAAAATCACAGGTCTGAGAAAAAGAAGATAGATCATGGTCTGAAAGCAAGGGAATAAAACACACGGTGTATTTTACAAGAACACATTCAAAATACATAAACAAGAAATATTGAAAGACTGTTCTTATCACAAGGAAATCATAAATGTTTAAGGAGAGGGATATCCTAATTACCCTGATTTGATCACTACACTATGTATACATGTATTGAAACATCACATAGTACACCCATAAATATGTACAATTATGTGTTGATCATAAATTTTAAAATGGAAAGATTAATATGAAATGCAGAAAATAAGACATTCTAAATGCATAATAAAGCTATAAAAATATATACAAAAAGCAGTTGCTTGCATGGTGCAGCTGCACATTAGAAATGTGCTTGTAATTGAAACGTTCATTTTTATAGTATTCAGGAATAGTGTGTTGATCAAAGAATTTTCATTGTATCTCAGGGAAGACTGGGTTGACCTAACTTATAGATTACAGAGCTATAATCTCTGTAATCAGAAGCAATGTAACAAAAATATGCAGGTCTGAAATGGACATATATAACCAGGCCTCACTTCACTGCCTAAACCAATTACCCAGTGAGTAGCAGCCACATTTTGAAGTCTTTTCAAGTAAGGAGGCTCAAGCTGAATGACCTCCACTCACCTGTTCCCACCCCTTATCCCTCAGTAATTCCTGACAATCACATTACGAGACCAAGGGTGCTTAAGATTAGTCACTGTGATACCAGACAGTCTTGCTGGCTTCTTCACTTGTTATGAAATATTTAAAACAAAAACTTTAAGACAGCCATATTCATTCAGAACATGTATAAACTATAAGGCATGGACTATCCAGTGTTTCAGAGGTCCGAACTGGTTTTCTGTTTTCTGCTATAACATAGGTTATTTATTCATTTTCCTCATGTGCATGTTTGAATAAGAAGAAAATTTTGTGGTGTAAATGTATGTATGTTTGTGTATGTATATACATGTTTGTATGTCATGTATATATACATAACACATACTGAATGGTACAGGGATTGTAAGTATTAATGTTCTACAATATTAGATTACACATAAATTATGACTGATCTTATGACAGAATAGAAGCCAATTAACTACAAGTTATATTTTTAGTGCAAATTCATTTTTCTCAAACACTGTCAGTATTTTTAATTGAGTCCTTAATTACTTTGAACATGATTTTAATTTACTACTGTCTAGAAATTAGTGGTGTTAATAATCTCATGTGTCATAGGTAAGACAGGTAAAATTACCACTTCAAAGCTTTAATGAACAAGGAAAAATCATAAACTTCTGTGTAATTACAAATGTGCAATCTAATAAAATACATCAGAACTAAGCACACTGCTTTGGAACTTCCCATCAAGACTTTCTGCCTTGAATGCCATGAAGTTATCTTACATGCATCAAATCACCTGTTTGGCCTTCACTCGTTATTTCTCAGGCTGCTCAGAATATTGACCTCCATTAACAGTTGGCCAAAAAGGTTAGCTAGAAGGCCACCCTCCATTGTGTATTTCTGAGGTTGTCATTATGAGTTTTAATTTATCATCTAAAGAAATATGTCCTAAGATGAAAATGTTACCATTACAGCTTGATCTCTCACCCTCTTCTCTTGTATTATTTCTTAATAGGTGTGTCAAGGATGCCACAATGCCATCGACCCAGAAGTGCAGCGGGTGACCTATAACAATTTCAGCTGGCATGCATCCACAGAGTGCTTTCTGTGCTCTTGCTGCAGCAAATGCCTCATTGGGCAGAAGTTCATGCCAGTAGAAGGGATGGTTTTCTGTTCAGTGGAATGTAAGAAGAGGATGTCTTAGGAGGAGGGCACCCAGAAGTATCGAGCCATAGCTATCCAAAGTGGTCTGCATTTCTACTGTAAAATGCAATTTGAAAAAAATAAAACGCAAAAAAAGAAACTGTAAAGGAAACCAAGAGATTTTGTTTAATTTTTTTGGCCATTTTTTCTTCATCAATTTTTTTTCGGTCTCAACTTTTAAACTTGGTTTAAGCATTTGATTTGTAAAACAGTAAATAATTGTATCTTTCCATAGCTTTTCAAATGTGAAATCATTTTTGGAAGCTTGGATCTCATTAAACTTCATGTCTCTATTCCATTTGTGCCACACACTTAAAAGTTAGTGTACTGAATGGAAAGATGAGCATTCCTAGTTCTACACTTCTTTTTTCCCCCTCATGTGTAAAATGAAAAGAAAACTAAATTTGCCCTAATACCAAGGCGCTACGTTTATTGCCTCGTCTTATTCACTGACCTTTGTAATGATACACAGTGAATTCTTTTTGACAAAGAGAAATGCAGTGTAGTATGCAGAGCTGCTGTTTTAATGCCTATGCATTTACTCTTTCCTGATTTAGGCAGAGGTGGCATTTTCTTTATTGCATTTCTCTATTTTTTTAATGTACCCTACCTTCAGTATTCTCTTTGTAAGTTGGTGACTTGCATCTGTGGCCTTGAATATTTTATTATCACATGTGGCATAACAGTATCCACACTTTTTAGTTCTTTATTTTTTTTTTTTTATTTTGAGCAATTCTCCTGCCTCAGCCTCCCAAATAGCTGGGATTACAGGTGCATGCCACCACACCCAGCTAATTTTTGTATTTTTAGTAGAGACAGGTTTTCACCATGTTAGCCAGGCTGGTCTCAAACTCCTGACCTCAGATGATCCGCCTGCCTTGGCCTCCCAAAGTGCTGGGATTACAGGTGTGGGAGCCACCATGCCTGACCCACACACTTTTTACTTGTATAGATGATTTTTGGCTTGGACATAAAAGCCAAGCCACCCATTTGCTTTTAATCCAAAGAACATGTATAGTTTTTGTACCCAGAGACTATGATTTATATTGATTGCACTTGCCTGCCATGATTTAGATAAGATTTTTTTTGCATGGTTTTTATTCTTTCCTAATGGATCCTGTTTTATAATACTTCCAAGCCTGTCCATGGATATATCAAATGTCTTCACTTGTATATTTTCATGGCTAGGTATTTCTAATGTTTATTCTTCCCTGTGTACTTCTACACATAGCTATGCACTATGAAAATTAAATGGAATGAATGATATGTATATTACTCAAAATAAAGTTTCTTTCACTTTAATAATCATTGTATCTTTTTATTCATATCCTTTTTTGAGTGAAAAATGCTTCTGCAACTAAGCATGTGTTACAGCAGGGGGCGATGTCTCCAAGGATAAAAATTACCCAAACGAAAATAAAAGTCTGCCTCTGACAGGACAGCACAGAATCTAGATGTTTCATTATGGAGAAAAGATAAGGTTTATGAAACTTTCAAATCAGGACTTTTAAGTTTGGTCATGCAAGAGTTTTTTTCTTTTTCAAAGAAAGGGAAAGTAATTTTAATTAAAATTTGGGAGAGCTTATTTTCTATTCAGTTGGATCTAACAAGCCTTTTATACTTGGGTTTCAACTCTGGTTTCTTTATATGTAAAAAATATTAAAAGAAGAATTTTTTCATGGAAACTTATCGTGAGACAGAAAGCAAATGGGGAATAGTGGTAGACTCATGCTTCCTAATGTTAGCAGGCCATAATACTTTCTCCCTCAGTCTACAATTATTTCTGTCATAGTGGGAGTTGCAGTTTTCTCTGATACATACCCAGAATAACTTGACTTTTTTTTTTTTCCAGCTCCTGTTTGGCCAATAGTACTTCTCTTTACATTCCACCTCTCCACTCCCCACCACCACACACACATGCACATGTGCATACCAAGCATACAAATTTACTCCTTCTGCACTATGCCTTCAACCATGCAAAAGTAACTTTTGGAGCTTGGATACGTGTCACCTTATCTAAAGTAATCTAATTCTGCATATAATTTTAGAAGCTAATATCACAAGTATCATTACTGTCTATAAAGATCGCTTTATGGTTGCTCATATCTTTATCTTAAATGGCAACAAATATATTTTCCACAGCATATTGTCCACAAAGTTGTACAACTTAACTTTTCCCAGACATGGCTAAGTGAGAATAAACTGAAACAGAACCCATCTGCTACTAACACGGCCAATCCCTTAGGAAATCTGGATTGCTCTTGAGACATACTAGCCTTCATATTTGTTGCATGGTACCTACATATCTCCCTTTCCTCCTTCCTTTTTTTTTTTTTTTTTTTTTTTGAGGTGGGGGGGGCGGCAAATGAGTTAGGGATTATTCTTTCTTTTCATTGACTAGCTGAAACTTCTATTACTGAAGTCTTCAAGCATAGATTTCCAAATTTGACTTTGAAGTATTTCAGCCCAATTTCACCAAAGGCAAGGGATTCATCACTGATTCATTCTCAAGGAATTTCCAACACATAGCGTTTAAGCTTATACAACTTCACCGTAGTTACCAAAGAGACACCAACACCCAAGATCAGTATTCAGCCTTTGTCTTGAGATGCCTTGGCATATCTGAACTTGTCTTCTGGGTATTCACTTAATTCTTTGGAAAACTTGGGTTTCCGTCAATGTCTCTATAAAAAGGCACTTTGCCACAATTTCTCACTCATCTGCCCCTTCTTGACCTCTGCTGATTTAAATGCTTGCCGACAACTTTGATGACTGTAATGAATGCCCACATGTATGCAAAGGACCCACTGTGCTGGTTTATGTGTATGTGCTTTGACCACACAAAACACATTCTGGCTCGATTAATAGATTAATAGGATCTTTTTTCATATATTTAGTTGATGCTTAAATAGCTTTGGCTAATTATTTTGTTCTTTCACAGAGAACTTGTCATTGTAGCTTTTATTTGATCTGATAATACAACTTGAAGCACTCAAAATAAGATGCCATTAACTTTTTATACTTGTTTTGAATGGCATCTTATGATGACATTTACGAAGGCTGCTATCAATTTTTTTTCAGTGATACTCCTCACCAGGGTATCTTGCCCCTCAGCCAATAATAAAACCAACTTGTATCCTGTTATCTTTACGAGAGTCAGACATTAGTGAATACAGAGACTAATATTACAGTTGATTTCTCCATAAATATTGATGGACTGTGAAGACATCATGGTATATAGTTCCAGGGAGAGCTGGATTTAGGAATCTAGACAAGACACTTTTTGCCACATCCCATTGATTCTCCTCCTCTCCCATTACAGTAGGATGGAGGACAACATTGTTGGATTTGAAGAGTAAGAAATACCGGGCCCAAGTGTTGAATGGATATAATGTATTGAAGTCATCAAGAATAACCACAGGGAAAATGGTGGAGAGAAGAGTAAGCCAGAGCTAAAGTTATAAAAGTATGTGGAGAAGTATTGTGGCATCTGATAGAAGATGGAAACTCAGGGTGGAGATGGGTGGTAAAGTCTAAGGCCATGTGCTACACCTCAAAGAGCTGTGATTGTTAGGAAACAAACAGCCTTTAATGGGAAAAACAGTAGACGGTGAAGAAGACACCTACCCCACAGGGATTGTGCCAGACACTACTTGAAATACTACAGAAGAAATAGGCTTTGGGGATAACTAGGTGTCAGTTGGAGAAGATGATGAGGAGTTTGAGAGTACAAAGGAGTCTGCAGTTCACAGAAGTTGGATGTCAGTGGGTACAGAGATAAGAGTATAGGAGGAGATAGGGCCAGATTCGAAGTACAAAGCAGAATGGGTATCAGGTTTCCAGTAAGGCTGAAAAATCTAGAGGCCAGGGGTAATAAACAGGGTCGAGAGGCAGGCTAAGGTTAGTTCTGGTAGTTTCCTAGGGAAAAGTGGGTTATCAGGGATGCTTTTGGCTGTAAGTAACTAAAAAACTAAGAGTGGTTTTAAGACAAGATAGAGGCTAACCCAAATTTGGCTCAGAACAAGTTTATTTTTATCTCTCTATTCTTCCACCCTCTATATGTTGTTGCCTTCTATTCTCATTTGTCCCTTCATTCAAGCAACACTCCCTCATATGACATCATCCAAAATAATAAAGAAGAGAAATGGCAAAAGCGTATTTTACCTCTAGACAACGAAGAAGATCTTTCCCAGGGGCCCCCAGCTGATTCACCTGCCTTTCCACTTCATTGGCTACAAATATGTCACCTGCTCATCCTCATCAAAGGCAAAGGGAAACAGAGTTGCTATGGTTGACTTATCCAAGCACAATTCATACCATGAGGTCTGGGCACATGCTGCCCAGAACAAAATTATTTTGCTAATGTATGATTGTTTAGATTCAGCATTGTTTAGATAACTAAAAGGTATGTTTGTAAATAAGTATGAATCTAAAGTTTTGGGTTTCTGTTGACTTGTGAGATGAGTCAGGAACATCATTTGGGGAATACCTTTCTTAGGTAACATTTCACTTTTCATGGCCAGCAATGATGTGGAGTCAGGGCAGGAGACACTGACGTCCTTGTGGTTCTGGTTACTGGACTATGCTTCGCTTGCTCCTCCCAGCATCTCATTCTGTCTGATCCATTCTCAAAGCCACAGGTCACTGTTATATGTCTATCAAGCACCACCCCCACCTCTCTCTCAGAAGCGATGATGACTTATTCCTTGATGTTCCTATCACACTGACTTATCTGGCCACTGAAACACTTATCTGAATCTGTCTATGCCTGCTTCTCCATTACTGTAACCAATACTTTGGCTGATAAACTTAGCATTTCTCACAAGGTATACTGTAAGTTCCTATCAGTTCCCTTGTTCTAATTCAGTGGCTCTCAGACTTTAACATGCATCCAATTCACCTGCAGGGCTCGTTAAATGCAGACTACTGGACTCCACTCCCCAGAGTGTCTGATTCAATAGATCTTATACAGGGCCTGATAATTTGCATTCTGAACAAATTCTCAGGCGATGCTTACACTTTAAGAAACATTGTTCTAATCCTGAGAATATTGAGGAAAAAATTAAACTCATTTTCTCCTATTTTCTCCTACTTCACTCTCAGCAACACATTTCTTTTTTTTTTCTTTTTCTTTTTTTTTTTTTTTTTGAGACAGTTTCACTCTTGTTGCCCAGGTTGGAATGCAGTGGCGCAATCTCAGCTCACTGCAACCTCTGCCTCCCAGGTTCAGGCCATTCTCCTGCCTCAGCCTCCTGAGTAGCTGGGATTACAGGTCCCCACCACCATGCTCAGCTAATTTTTTGAATTTCAGTAGAGATGGGGTTTCACCATGTTCGCCAGGCTGGTCTCAAACTCCTGACTTCAGGTGATCCACCCGCCTCGGCCTCCCAAAGTGCAGGGATTACAGATGTCAGCCACTGCGCCTAGCCCAGCCTTCACCAACACATTTCTAACACCAGACATAAGGGGGTGTTTCCCCACACACCAAGCAATCGGAAAATTCTGCAGCAGACACAAGCCAGGTGCCCTCCAGTTTACTTCTGATGCTATCTACCTGGAGGCTGTGTTAGATCCCACAGGTTGAGTGCTCACTTTCACAAGACTGTTCCCCATTTCCAATACCAATCTCAAGCCCCAAGTTGCTTTACCTGTGCTTCTGGTCAACTGGCTATAGAAATCAGGCTTCCCACAACCCCTTATTCAGGTTCTATTAACTTGCTAGAGCCACTCACAACAGAACTCAGGGACACAATTTACTTATATTTCCCAGTTTATTATAAAGAATGTTACCAAGGATACAGATGGAAAGACACATAAGGCAAGGCATGTGAGAAGGGGCACCATGCTGCCATTCGCTCTCTGAGGTACCACCCTCCAGGAACCAGAACGTGTTCAGTTATTTGGAAGCTCCAAGAATCCTGTCATTTGGGGTTTTTATGGAGGCTTCATTACATAAGCATGATTGATGAAATTATTGGTCATTGTTGATCAACTTAGCCTTCAGCCACTCTTCTCTCCCTGGAAGGTGGGTGGGGGGAGCTGAAAGTCCCAACCCCACCTCTTATCCTGCCCTGGTCTTTCTGTTGACCAACCCCTATTCTGAAGCTACCCAGGAGCTGCCAGCCATCAGTCAACTCATTCACATACAAAAACACATTATTACTAATAGATTACATCTATTACTTTGGAGAGTCTATGATTTTAGGAGTTAATGCCAGGAAATGGGAAGAAAGGTCAAATATATATTTTATACTATCAGATCCATTCTCTTTTCTTCTGCCAGAGTGCAATACAGAGAACATATTAGTATTCCCTTACTGAAAAATCTAACAATGATTCAGCCTCTTTTCCCACCCTTTTCATGTATACACATGGTCATCTAGCCATAACTGAATGCTTGCAGTTTTTTGAAGTTAGTCGCTTCCTTCATATCTCCATGACTTTGCAAAGATAGTTACCTCTAAGAAGCTGATCCATGACCCTTCCACACCCCCTCAAGCTTGAAGCCCATCTTTGTTCACATACATCTTGACCTATGCTACTAGTTCACTGATATCATTGCCCTATTTAAGTGCAGAAATATAATTTTTTCATGTTTATTTCCTTAGAACCAAATATAGCACTTAACACATGATATGTGCCCCAAAAATGGTAAATAACAAAATGAATTAAGTGGCATCTGAATAAGCCATAATAAATCAGGTAAGAGTTTTACTAATTGAGATGAAACTCATTTGGACAAGTTTCTAAAGGACAGAGCAAAAGAAGAAACATAGCTCAGTAACCGTAAGTATTTTTTTAATTAAAAAATCACTTGTGTTTTAAAAAATGACAGTACAAGGATCCAATTACATAATCCTCAGCAACACTTCTTAAAATTCCCTCTTCTCTGCTACCTGCCTTTCTCGTGCCTCCAGCTGCTCTCTCCACAAGTCCCCCAAACCTAAATCCTCCCCAATTTCTTTTCTCTCACACTCTGCCATCTCCACTTCTCTCCATTGCTTCATTCATTCATTCATTCATTCATTCGCTTAATCAAACAATATTTATTATCTGCTATGTGTCAGGAATGGTTGCAGGCACTGGGACCAATGATGTGAACAAGATAAACAAGATCCCTGCTCTTGTGGTGTTTTACATTCAAGAGAGAATAGGCCTGAAGTAAAGAATTCTAACAGAAAATGAAATGCTGGCCAAATGGGCATGGGGAGGGGAAGGCTCCAGAACAGAGGATATGTTAATAACAACAGAAGTCCAAGGCTATTAAAAATATTTCAGAAGGGCCTGCAATAATACCTAGAATGGAGATTCAAATTTTCTTCTCAGATTCTTAGCATTGCTCTTCACCTTGACATGTGAAAATTGGATTTCTCTTCAACAATCTGGAAGGATTGAGGAAAGGCTATGATCTTTCACATATGAATCATTTTTACCTGCCTAAGAAATTACTATTAGATCTTAATACTAACAGAGCTTCACTCCCCAAATAAAAGTGTATAGTTCCTCCTTTCTGAAATTGAGAGTAATGTCAATAACTGTATATTTTTTTCTTCATTTTGACTTCCAGGAAGCTTTGAGCAAAATCTGACCCTTCACTAACGTAGCAATTATGATTTAAATCTTTTTTCCAGACAATGTTGTTGTATGAATTCTCATTTCAGCCTGCTTCAAATTCTTTGTGGAATTTGGCAGGGGGTCTTCTTGGTTAGGATTATTTATCTTTTCTAAGTATCAAAAAACATTGATCATTATAAGGGTACAGCCAGGAGTATAGGAAGTAGCCTACAGATGGAACAGAAGCCAAGGCTGGGCAGCCACCAGGTCTTTTTCCCCTCCCTCCAAGTTCCTCCCTGAATATCTGCTTCTTTTTTCTTTCTCTGTAGGCACAGTCTCTCTGTTCCTTATCTGCATGATCAGTTAGTAAAGATGGGTGCCCTAAAATTTCTGAGTTCATAGATTACAAATGTTGTCACACTGAGAGACTGATGGGCTAACTCTTGGTTCTGATTCCAAATTCCCCAGGAAAAAAAAAAAAAAAACCTGATTGTCTTCAGTTGTTTTACAGATAGACAAACCAGTTTATGATCAGGGGACAGAGTCATGCAACCTAAGCAAAACAGTTAAAAATCTCACCAAATGAAGTTTGAGAGGGGAACACAGTGGAAATAAGTGGGAGTGAATCAAGGAGTTTAGGGGGTCACTGTGAGTGGAAAGACACTCTTCTAGTTTATTATTATAATTGTAAGTAGAGAGTTAGAAGGATAGCATGGCAGACACTGGCTAGATGATCTCTAAGCTTATTTCCAGTGAAACTATATTTCCCAGCATCCACTGTAGTTGTGTGGATCTTTCTGATTGAGTTTTGGCCAAGAGATCAAGGAAAGAAGCAATGTAGTCTCCTTCAGGCTTTGCCATGACAACTCAGGGCAAGATGGTGGAGCCAAGAGATAAAGCAGGATTTCTCCTTTGCAGTGTTGTGCATGGAAACATAACGTGGGCAAGAAATATGCATTTATTGGTTCAAGCCACTGATACTGGGCTTGTTGGTCATAGGAGTTAACCTTCCCTAACTAGTACAGATAAATAAATAATGAAGATCACGCTTTCATCCTGAAAATATCCCTTTACTAAGTCATGAGTCATATTGGGATGCTGGGGAACTGAGGGTGAATAGAGCAAAAACTTCTGCTGTCAATTGTTCAAAGGCTCATGGAAGAGACATGCAGGTAACAGAAAATGAAAATAATGAAGACCTGTCACTGACAGGAGACAACGGAAGTGATGCCAAAGCAGCTGTTTGTGATGTCAAAATATCTTCTCTAGTATGAGAGGTTGCTCTCACTGTTACCCTAGGTAAGTGGATGGATAAAAGGGAACTTTGCAAAAATAGAATCTATGAGGCATGGTCACAGTGGGACTGAAGGACAGGGAGGAGTCAAAGACAACCCTGCCAATTGGAAGAATGGTGGTGACCTCAACAGAAATGAGAAATCCACTTAGGGAAGAGCTGAGAAGAAAAATGATCAGTTCACTTGGGAGTATGTGGAGCTTGAGGCAAGTGGAGGAGTACAGCAGGCAGTTTGGGACCTGAAAGTGGATGCTCAAGAAAAAACTCTGGCTAGAGATATAGATGAAGAAGTCAACAGACAAAAGTTACCATTCACATCTGATAATAGCTTACTGGGGCTCCAGTCTCCTTATCAAATGTGATAGGACAAAGACAGTTTTGAAATGATTTTTACGTTACTTTATTTTTCTCCAGGTAGCAATGACAAGTTTAGTGTATTTTCTCTTTTTTGGTGAAATTATATCAGCAGTTTCTGTATTTCCACAATAGATACTGCAAGTTCCGAGACCTAAAAAATTCTGAGTATTCATTGCATTGCAAAGGTTGTCAAGGATCTGCTTATCTGACAATAAACTACAGAAAAGATTGTAGTATTAACTGTTTTAGCAATGCCAATTCCTTATTTTCCCTTTTCCCCTAGGGAATTTCAGATTTCCTCTAAAATCTCAGGTCCCAGTTTGCACATTGATTTTCTTGTACTATTATGAGCCACTGATTGCCGTATCCATTAACTTCACCTATGCATAAACCATGCAACAGATGACAATATATCACCCATTCCTCTCTTATCTTTCTTTTTCATTTTATTTTGCCTTTCTGAATTTTTCTCCTAAACTTTTCTTCCTCTAAATTTTACTTTCTTTCCCAAACTTACTCCTGATCTATTCTCTTCTTTCTCTATTTGATGTATTATTAATTTATAGTTTTATTCATTCATTAATAAAATCCATCAAACAGGAATTAAATATTTACCATAATCCAGATATGGATAAAAAGAAAAAATAAATATATTTCATGTATATTACATTGAATCAGCCTAAATACTGCAGCCCAATGACTCATTAGCTACAGTTTCATTCTGTATTCATTAGCTTCATTAGCTAGAGTTTCATTAGCTACTCTTACAAGTTGAAGGAGATTCTTCATTAACTACACTGCTTTCACTTGCATCCTATAAATGATAGACATCTTATAGTCCCATCTTACTGACAGAGAAGAGGACCATTAACAAAAGCAGACTCACACAGAGAAAAATAATTCCTAGACAAATTAGCTTTGTTTATTTTTTAAAACCCACATCTATTATGTCTTAAAGAATCATGAACTTCTCCAAGGTAGTAGTTACTCCTTTGAATAGCAGCTTTTTCCTTTGTGAGAAGATAAAAGGAAATATATTGACTTGCTGCTTTTCCTGAAAAAAATTATTCTATTCTAGTGTCTATTTAAATTGTAGCTAGTAAGGTTCATATATTAGATAATAGCATTATATAATATTTAATTTCCTGCTGTGATCATGCAAGAGAATGTCTTTGTTTTAAAGAAATTCACATTGAAGTAAGCATTTGGGGGTAAAGGAGTTATCGTATCTGCAACCTACACATAAGTGTTTAAAAAAAGTATAGTAGAGAGAGAATGAGAAAGCAAATGTGGTACAATGTTAACAGTTGAGGAATCTGGGTAAAGGGTAAACAAATTCTTTGTAATATTGTTTGCAGTTTTTCTATAGCCTCAAATTATTTCAAAATACAAAGTTTTAAAAGTTATCAGTCCATAGTTCAGGGGAAATTTGGAAATTTTTATTATAATTTTCTCTTATTAATGTTCTCAGTTTAAAATATCATGTTTCATAAGAAGTCTCATAATTATATTTTACCAATTGAAAGAAGAAAATACATCTCATCGAAAGTCATTCATCTCTTCATATAAGTGGAGTGTTGGTGTGAAGGTTTGGCTCTCCACAGTTATAGTGTAGTGGCAAAATTATATTGCTAAATCAAAAGAATTGGATTGAAGTGTGAACCCTCAACTTACCAGCTGTGGGGATGTGAATAACCATTTAAGCTGTGCCTCGATTTCTCACCTATGAAACAGGACTATCAATCCCTATATGGCAGCTTATGTTTTCACAAATGATCATAGCAATATTTCTGGTCACACGTTCTTGCAGAACCTTGTCGACAATCATCTGGAGTCTATCTTCCCTCTCCTTGAAACTGAGTGGAACTTTGTTACTGCCTGGACTAACAGACTGCAGCATGTCTGTCTGGCTAGGCAAGGTCATCAGAGGTGATAGGAGCTCTCCAGGATCACTCTCACCCTCTCTCTATCTTTCTCTCTCTTTCTGTCTCTTTCTCTCTCCCCCACCATCTACCCTGGGAATGCTTGCTTTTGAAACCCAATCATAATACTGTGGAGAAACCCAAAGTTTTCCACCCAGAGAGTCCATGTGGAAAGACACATGGAGACGAACTGAGGCTCCCAGCCCAATGCCAGCACTGACTGCCAGAAACCTGGGTGAACAAATCTTCAAACAGTTCCAATCCTGGGCCTCTAGTCTTCCAGCTGAAGCCCCTGACATCAGAAGAAAAACCTGAACCCACTGTGTCCCATTCAAATTCCTAAGCCACAGACTCTATAAGCAGAATAAATGGTTGTTTTATACTGCTGAATTTGGGGTCATTTTTTATGTGGCCAAGACATCTAACACCTACTGAATAGAATTATTATATAATAATTCTGTTATTATATAACAGATACATAAAAGGGAATTTCTATAAAACACATACATTTGCCCTGTATGCTATAAAATGTTATTTATACAAATTCATATAATTTGTTATTTACACAGATGCATTTTTTTGGATATTAACTTTCATCTTCTCATCTACCTTTCTTCTTCTTTTGCTTAGTTATTCATGCAGTTGTGCAGCCTTAAACTTAATTCTATTAACTCTATTTAAGAGTTTATAAACATCAGGAATATTTATAATATTCTAGACTCAGAAATTCTGGTGAGCACTATTTTCAGGACAGTACATTCCAGAGGTTAGGATCACAGTCATGGAGCAAACAGAAAGCCTATATTTTCACAGAGAGTCTTTGGTTCTTGAATTTCTATGCTGAACAAATGGAATCCTCAACACTCCAGGTGCTAAAGTGAGAAACACCTTTGGTGCTGCTAAAGATTCAGTGGGAAAGAACTTAGAATACAGGACCTTGTTTGTTCTCCAGATTCTATGAAATAAAGGACATTTATTTAAGGAAGATTGGGGGAAGTAGGGATTTATTAGTCACTCATGAACTCCAGAGTACTATGAGTACAAACTTTTATACAATGTAGACCTTGGCCTCAAGAAGTTTACAGTGTCGTATCTCATAAACGAGAGAGGTATTT
Source organism: Homo sapiens (assembly GCF_000001405.40). NCBI lineage: Eukaryota > Metazoa > Chordata > Mammalia > Primates > Hominidae > Homo > Homo sapiens. The sequence goes on from NC_000007.14 coordinate 116,269,724, forward strand.
AAACAAACTGGCAATCCATTGTGATAAATGCAATAGTAGCGAGAAAATCTAGTGCTTAGCCCTGAAGTTTGTGAATATGTACAATTTTCCAAAGAAAGATGGTATGCAATAGTATTCGTAATTAGTGACTTACCTGATTTATTACTTTTTTGTCAAATTTTTAAATAAATTACTTCTATTTAATTGCAACTGATAAAATTTAGGTAAGATACCTTTGAATAATTTATGTGTTTGTAAGAGAGAATTGTAAGGAAGGAGATAAGAGTACTGGCAGCTCTGCTTGACAAAGTCATATAGTACATTCTTTTTTATCCCACACACATTTTCTCTCTTTTCCCTTGGTCCAAACAAAGTTCTGAGGATGGGTGTGAAATGGGAGCAAGGAAGAGAGGAGCTGGAAGACAGCATAGGTCCGCAGCAACATGAGGTGCTTTCATTTTGAATTGGTTTTCCATGTCATGCTCCTTTTTTCACCAAATGGCACAGCACTCAGCATTTGCCTCTACTGGGAAATACCATATGCTGTTTTGCAAAATCCGTAAGGTAATGAACTATGAAACACTATTATGAATTATCATCACCACTCAATCTTTATTAAGCACTCCCTTCTGCCCATTCCAATGGCTGGCATAAGATGGCAAACATGGCAGGTGAAGCCCCTGCCTTAAAGGGTGGCACCTCAGAGGGAAGATTCAGTATTCTCATCGAAGGCTGAGATGGGTTCTTGATTCTTAACTTATAAAATGAAATGGAATTTCTATGACTTATTCCCATCCAGAAGAACTTTGCAGGATAATTATAGAACCTTTTCCAAAGTACTTATAGATTTTACAAATAGGAGAGGAAAAAACATTAGAATGACCTCTTTATCATCTCTTGCATGCATGTGTGAGCGAGTGAGTTGTGTGTGTGTGATCGAGTGTGTGTGCAAGTGTGTGTGAGCGTGTGTGAGCAGTGTGCATGTGTGAGAGCAAGCGAGTGTGTGTGTGTGTTAGGGCAAGTATTATCATATGAGAGTAAATTTACTGGAAAACTTTTAAAGATAAAGTTTATTCTTACTCTGTTCTATTTAAAATTTTCTTAGCATTATTTCAAAAAGTGGCTCTAGTCAATGTTATATCTACTTTATACATACAAACTCAGTTAATCCTCACAACGACCCTTCGAGGTAGGTACTTTATCATTTTACAGATAGAATAACTGAGGGCAGTAGAATTATTATGATTATGTAATTTGGAAAGCCACCAAGCTAAGAAGTAAAAGACCTGGAATTCACACCCTGACAATCAAGGCCTAAAGTGTGAATTTGTGTTCACCATGACATACTTAATACTGAATGTATATCTTCTTCCCTTTCATATGAACTATGTCAGGTCACGATGTCAGCACCACATAGAAATAGTTTTCTTTTGCTTGCTTGCCCTTTCACAGAGATTTCTTCCATGTGCCTTTGCAGCTTCCAAAAGCTGTAGCCTGTTCTTTGAGAAAGCTCTTCTCTCCTTAAGGAGTTGCTCCACATCGGATTGATTCTGGGCCATGCATCATGTCAGCTTGCAAAAGACAAAACCCTTTCTGTTTCTAAAGAAATTTCTCATATTTTGAAATGAAAGCAAGAATTGCTCTGCCGAGGTGCCAAGGGCAACATACTTCCATTACGAAGTGTTTCTAACAAAATGTTTTGGAGATTTTAAAGGGGCAGCTTTCTAAATATCCCAGGCATCTGCAAACAACCAGACATGCAGGCCCGCTTTTCAGCCCAAACATTGTTTCTGGGTTGTATCATTTTTTTTTCCTGAAAGTCAGCACAGCTGTTGCAATGCCCCTTTATCAATTGTCCAATGATCCCAACAATTTTTTTTCCAAGAGTGAATAATCAAAATGGTATTACAGGTCTTTGATTTTGAAATATATGCACTGTTAATATAATTTTGGCCTTCTTTAGCAGAATTTCAAAGGGGAACCAAAGGTTTATATTTATAAAGTTTATAATCATTCCACAAAGTTCAAGACATTTGGCAGTGCTTGGGAAACTTAAAAACAGTAATAAAAGGTTACTGCGAGGAATTCAAAGCTGCCTTGTATGGTAATGCTGATTCAAGCCACCACATACTGCAGCATTAGAAGTTTAGCTGTGATTTGGGGGTTGGATCAGAACTATGCAGCTGTAGAGATATTTAAATGGCTTACCCATTAACAACAAAGAAAGCACTTTGGAAAATTTACAATTAATATCTCCGCTTTGAAAACACATTAGGAGTATGCGGGGGGAGAAAATCATGCATTCTTAGCCTGATTTACTAAGCATCTATCAGCCTCCTTGACTGTTCTCAAGCACCAACCTTGCCTTGCAATTGTAAACTGTGCACTTTTGCCAACCTGGAATGCACACTCTGTCCCTGCCCAGCTCCAGATCATTCTGCATCTGTGCTTGCTCAAACTCTGGTAACCCAAGCTCTTCATTTGTTGGCAGCTGGTAAAAGGGGTTTCCTTATGAGTCACAGTGTGGAGGGAGGCTGAGTAATATACCCTATCCTGTGCTACAATCTGTATGGAATGTATTTGAAATAAAACTAAACTTAGAGTTTAGTTCGACATCTGATTTCAAACACATTCTTGAAAAATTGGAGTGCAATAGGGAAAAAATCACCATGTCTCTCCTGCTACGGAAAGCTTACTCCCCTACAACTGTCTCCAAAGGGACAGAAACTAAATTGCACTCATTCAGGCTCTGAGGTCTCTGATGAGGAAAGAGTCCACAGCTTGGCTTTTTTAGATGATCCTGCTTTCCTGTTATGGCAATGAAGTAGCTAGTCCCATGGCGAAGGAAAGTGGGAAAATGAAGTTGACAATGCACAAGTGTCACAGGCTAAGGCTTTTGTCAATGTTGTTTAACAAATGTAAGCATCTGACAGATCACATCTTTAACTGAAAGAAGGTAAAGAATATTACAAGACAAAGTGTGTTTACAAAAGTCATAGATGATGCAAGAACACTGTTTATCACCATATATTCACCTGTTTACAGTAAGTTCAGGAAAATGGGTTTTCTTACTATTAAATGCAGTAACATGCATTTATCTAGAAAAATAAATTAAGACTATCAAGGTCTAAATATAATTTCAAAAAAACTAGACACACTGTACTAACCAAATATTATATTTTTTTCTTTTTAAATATCATTAGATACCCAAATATCTGAAATGAAAAAAAGATTAGTGACGACATACTGAATGAACGGAAAAACTGGAAAATTTGTGGCTAGAAATTTAGAATTATACTATAAGCTAGATGTATCAAACTCACATATTCTTCCAAATTAGAGAATTAGTTATGCTTCAGAAATATAAAATACATATATGCCAGAAAGTTTGCTCTGTTTACTAAGCAATAAAATAATCATATCTTCTTAATTAATGAATCTTATAAAGTAAATGAAATGGAAATATGTCTGTTACCTGCTGCTTTTGACTAATATTCAAATAAAATAATCAAGTTATTTCCTTCTTATAATTTGTAACACACATTTCTAAATACAGGTGAGTTGCATGAGAAAAGGGGATTGAAAAATAAAAATTTCTATTTGGTTACTTGTAATTTGGGCTTGATACAAAAATTCCTTCAGTACCAACAATCTGATATGGTCACCAGGTATAGCCGATGTTAACAAATCCACCAGATTAAATCAGTATGTAGAAAATGTCAAGTCTGTGTTTACTCAGTTATTCAATAGTCAACACTCAGAGCTTACCAAATACCGTGATATTTACAAGGCATATAAGAAGCTCACCAAGTGAGGACAGAGGCAGACATGCAAACAAGTAACTGTCAAACACAAACTGAATGTTTGTGTCCCCTCAAAATTCGTATGCCAAAATCCTCACCCCTAAGGTGATGGTTATTAAAAGGTGGGCCTTTGGGAAGTGATTAGGTCATGGTGGAGGATGGGGGAACCCTCATGGATAGCATTAGCGCCCTCATAAAGGAAGTCTGAGAGAAATCCTTTGCCCCTTCCACCCTGTGAGGCTAGAGTGAGAAGATGACTATGAGGAAGTGGGCCCTCACCAGGTAGTGAATCTGCCAGAGCCTTGATCTTGGACTTTCCAGATTCTAGAACTAGGAGAAATAAATTTCTGTTGCCTATAAGCCACTCAGTTTATGGTATTTTATTACAGCAGCTCTAACAGACTAGGACCATCATATGCAATGTGATAAGCCCTCAATAGAGGGACACAAAAAGGGAGAAGAAGAGAGCAGAGAAGACTTGGGGGAGGAGGGCAACCTTTGAACTGGGTCTTAATAAGATAATAAGTGACCCAGGAGGAGAAGGGTGGGAATTGGGATAGCAAAGGGCATTCCAAACATAGTTTCACCACAGTCTTGTAGACAGAAGGCATTATGCAGTAAGAAGACATGAGCATCAGGGAGAAGTAACAGTTCTGACCGATGATAAGAGGGTTATTGGCAGGAAGACTAATGGACTTTGGGTTGGTGAAGAAGGGAAGTGGGGTATGAGTATCACTGTAAGGCTAGCTGAAGAGTATGACTATACTCAGTGACATTTTCCCAAAGGTGTTTTATAAAATATTAACTCCATAGACCACTTATTTATTGGATTATTTATGGGGACTAGCAAACAAATTTTTCTTTTTCAAGAAAGTGTGGGAAATGCTCAATTTTTTTTCTGTAAAACTTCTCACAGTCTTCAATGTGCTAATGTATATGGTTCTGCAAGATATGTTAATAAAGATAAAATTCCCCATACTTAGTTCACCAAATATCCCTTTAGCTGCACGGATATTTTGAAAAGTTAGTGTTCCATATAAGAGAGTTTGGAAATGCTACTATAAGGAATCGAGTAAAACAGAAAGTCTTAATTAATAAAGATGTGGAAAATTCATGGCCAAATTTGTATTTTAAAAACCTAACTTTGGCAAGAATATGGAAGAAGGGTTTGTACGTGAGATATAGTTGGGAAACTAGTGTCTGGGCAAAGCCCATGGGAATGAAGGAGAATATCTGAATTGGTAGAATTTCATAACTAAACATCCAGGTGTTCATGGCGAGTGAAGAAGTGAATGAGGGGAAAATGTCAATATATTACTTAATCAAGTGATCAAAGGTAACATAATTCGTAATGAGACAGACATTGTGAGCCTTCTGATGTGATGCACTGAGAAGAACACTACATTACTTATGTTACATCCCTGACAACAATGCATAAGCTGAAACTAGTCTTGAAAATCATTCTATAAAATCAATGGGCTGTTCTGTAAAAAAAAAAAAAAAAAAAAAGTTATAAAAAACAAAGAAAGGTCAAAGAACCACCCCGGATCAAGGACGACTAAAGAGATTTGAAAACTAAGTGCAACTGTGATTCTTCATTGCATTGTGGACCTGTAAAATACATGCTATAAAAGACATCAAAGAGACTATTAGAATAAATTGAATAGATCTTATGAATTAGATAATAGTACAATATCAACTTTTCTGATTTTGAAAATTTTACTGTGATTTCATAGGATAATGTTTTTATTCTTAGAAAATAACGCAATATTTAAGGGGAAAGAAACATGAACTTTGTAAGTTACTCCTGAATGACACAGAATAAAATAGATAAATATTATATATAAAATGCATATATTTATATAATTGGTCGGTCTTGGTTGGTGTCTATGTGTGTGTGTTTGTGTGTATATGTACATATATACACTATATATTTATACACATGTGTATATAGAGAGAATGCTAAAGCAAAGCAAATATGAGAAAATGTTAAAATTTGGTAACCAATTTGGGTGAAGGACCTATACAAAAACATTAGTACATTTTTGCCAATTTTCTGTAAGTTTGAAGTTATTTGAAAATAAAAAGTTAAAAAAATAATTCAGCAACCCCATTTGGAATTTATCTTAAGAAGCAAAGCCAACAGGTACTAAATATGAATCAATGACAATTATTCAGTTTCTAGCTTCAGTAATGGATGAGCATATGGAGAGCACAGGCTAGAGAGGAACAGGATTTGAAAGAGGAAGATGGTGATTTCTGTTTGAGGAATGTTTTTCAAAATGTCAGTATCATCTCCAGGGGGACATTACTGGTAAGACACGCCTGGAGTTCTTAAAAGAAGGAGCACTGGAGTTTGAGATTTTGAAGACATCTTTACAAGAGATATTCTCTGTTCAGGGATTCAGTTTCTTCCTGGTTCAATCTTGGGAGGTTGTATATTTCCAGGAATGTATCATTTCTTTTAGGTTTTCTAGCTTGAGTGCATAGAGGTGTTCACAGCAGTTTCTGAGAGTTTGTATTTCTGTGGAGTTGGTGGTAATATTCCCTTTGTCATTTCTGATTGTATTTATTTGGAACTTCTCTCTTTTTTTATTAGTCTAGCTAGAGGTATATCATTAATTCTTTCAAAGACTCAACTCCTGGATTCATTAGTCTTTTGTATGGTTTTTCACATCTCAACTTCCTTCAGTTTAGCTCTGATTTTGGTTATGTCTTGTCTTCTGCTAGCTTTGGGGTTGGTTTGTGATGTTAAGTTCTTAATTTGAGATCTTTCTTTTTGTTGTGGGCATTTAGTGCTATAAACTTCCCTCTTAACACTGCTTTAGCTATGTCCCAGAGATTCTGGTATATTGTAGCTTTGTTTGCTTTGGTTTCAAAGAATTTCTTGATTTCTGCCCTAATTTCATTGTTTACCCAAAAGTCATTCAAGAGCAGGTTGTTTAATTTCCATGTAATTGTGTGGTTTTGAGTGATATTCTTAGTCTTGATTTCTACTTTTATTGCCCTGTGGTCCAAGGGTATGGTTGGTATAATTTCAGTTTTTTTTTTTGTTTTATTTGCTGAGGACTGTTTTAAGCCTATTGCATGGCTGATTTTAGAGTATGTGCCATGTGCAGATGAGAAGAACGTATATTCAATCGTTTTTGGGTAGAGAGTTCTGTCGATATCTGTTAGATCCATCTGGTCAAGCATTGAGTTCAGGTCCCGAATATCTTTGTTAGTTTTCTGCCTCAATAATCTAATATTGTCAGTGGGGTGTTTGAATTCTCCCACTATTATTGTGCGATTATCTAAGTCATTTCATAGGTCTCTAAGAACTTGCTTTATAATCTGGGTGTTCTTGTGTTGGATACATATATATTTAGGATTGTTAGGTCAGCTTGTTGAATTGAGGCTTTCGCCATTATGTAATGCCCTTCTGTGTCTTTTTTGATCTTTGTTGGCTTAAAGTCTGTTTTGTCTGAAATTAGATTAGCAACTCCTCCTTTTTTCTGTTTTCTGTTTGCTTGGTAGATTTTTCTCCATTCTTTTACTTTGAGCCTATGGACATCATTGCATATAAGATGGGTCTTTTGAAGACAGCATACTGTTGAGTCTTGCTTCTTTAACCAACTGCCTACTCAGTGTTAATTGGGCATTTAGCCCATTTATATTCAAGGCTAGTTTTTACATATGCAGATTTGATCCTGTCATCATGTTGTTATCTAGTTATTATGCAGACTTGTTTGTGTGGTTGCTTTATAGTGTCACTGGTCCATGTACTTAAAGTGTGTTTTTGTAGTGGCTGGTAACAGTCTTTCCTTTCTATATTTAGTACTCCCTTGGCAACCTCCTGTAAGGCAGGTTATATTTAGCACTCCTTCTGGGACCTCTTGTAAGGCAGGTCTGGTGGCAAATATTTTACCACAAAGATGCCAAAAGCAACTGCAACAAAAACAAAAATGGGTAAATGGGACCTAATTAAACTAAAGACCTTCTGCAAAACAAAATATTGGCAGAGTAAACAGAGAGAATGGGAGAAAATATTTGCAAACTATGCATCCAACAAGAGTCTAATACCCAAAATCTATAAGGATGATAAACAAATCAACAAGCAAAAAACAAACAAACAAAATAAGCAATTATGTAATGCCCTTCTGTGTCTTTTTTGATCTTTGTTGGCTTAAAGTCTGTTTTGTCTGAAATTAGATTAGCAACTCCTCCTTTTTTCTGTTTACTGTTTGCTTGGTAGATTTTTCTCCATCCTTTTACTTTGAGCCTATGGACGTCATTGCATATAAGATGGGTCTTCTGAAGACAGCATACTGCTGCGTCTTGCTTTCTTATCCAACATGAACGTACACTTTTCAAAGATGATATACAAGAAACCAACAATCATATGAAAAAATGCTCAACACCATTAATCATTACAGAAATGCAAATCAAAACCACGATGAGATACCATCTCACACCAGTCAGAATGGCTATTACTAAAAAGTCAAAAAATAATAAATGCTGGCAAGATTGCAGGGAAAAGGGAATGCCTATACACTGCTCGTGGGAATATAAATTAGTTGAGCCATTATGGAAAGCTGTTTGATGATTTCTCAAATAACTCAAAGCAGAATTACCATTCAACCCAGTAATCCCATTATTGGGTATATACCGAAAGGAATATAGATCATTCTACCATAAAGACACATGCATGCACTATTCACAGTAACAAAGACATGGAATCAACCTAGATGCCCATCAATGGTAGACTAAATTTTAAAAATGTGGTACATATACACCATGGAATACTATGCACGCATAAAGAAAATGAGATTATATCCTTTGCAGCAACATGGATGGAGCTGGAGACCATTATCCTAAGTAAACTAACACAGGAACAGAAAATCAAATTGTGCATATTCTCACTTATAAGTGAAAGCTAAACACTGAGTACATATGGACACAAAGAAGGGAACAAGAGATACCAGGGCTTATTTGAGGGTAGAGGGAGGGAGAAGGGTAAGGATCAAAAACTACCTATCAGAGAGTATGCTTATTACCTGGGTAGTGACATAATCTGTACACCAAATCCCCGTGACACACAATTTACCTATATAACCTGAACATGTACCCCTGAACATAAAACAAAGGTTTTAAAAAAAGATATTCTCCACTTGCTGGTGTTTTTAATTAACTGACAATTTCTCTCTTCATTTAAACAATTTTTCCAAAGCAAACCTGCAACTTTGGCTTGGGTCTTAATATAATACATGAAATTTTCCTTTTTTATGAGCTAGACTCTCCTAGAAAAAATAGTGACATAAACAATTTATAATTAAGTTTAGAAGAAAAATTTAAGGGTATTATATTGAATAAGTGTCAATTGATAGTAGGGATCTAGCAATAGCCACAACCTGGCATTGCAGACATTAATGGCAATGAAGAAAATTTTGTATATGTTCCAAAAATTGATTGAAAATGATATTAGTTGAGGCTTTAAAATTCCTCAAGAAAATCAAGCACATGTTTTCAACCTTCCTAAACTTCACAATCTCCAGAGTTTATGTTCTAGGGGTCACCTTGGATACTAGTTTGGTTAAGCTAAACAACCTACCTGTGAAAACATTTGCCTTAATAAAGACTTCACTTTTAAATAAAGCTCGAATTTAATTAGAAAATGAAGAAAGCTGATGCTAAAATAGATTACACTAATTTAAGACTAAGAAAATGTCAGGTTTTCCAAACCTCAAGGTATAAAACTGACAGACTCAAAATGTTTTGCTAAAATAAATATAATTTTAATCATGTGTACCCAGGCAATTTCAACTTTTCCAAAGCAGAACACTAGACATTCTTGCCTGACCCTGGTCTGTTGTAAAATTCCAGAGATACCCTCCCATCATACTGTGAAGTAGCTCATCTTGACATGTAAATATCTCATACATAATTTATTCCATTCCTTGGAGCAATGATTTGAATAAAAGCAAAGCAGTGTTTCTGCTGTCTTTACTGTAAATGCTAATCTAAGAATATCAGAGTATCTAGCCAGACTGCATGGGTTTGAGTCTGAGTCTGCCACTTATGAACTGTGATCTTGTACAAGGTATGGAATCTCTTTGTGCCTTGTTTTCCCATCTACAAGATGGAGCAATGACATTACTTAGAGCTTTGGTCACATTATGTGCCAAATCAATTTGCCAAAGGAAAATGAATCCTACCTGCCTAGATGAACAGAGTTTCATCTTCCTCCAGAATATAATTCTTGGCCAAGAAACTACAGAGGTGCTTACTTATATCCGAAGGGTCAGCCTTAGGACTTCTTAGCTACAATGCAGATAGTATTTCTTGAGATGAAAGGACTCCACCAGCATTATTCATAAGCTGGCAGTTACAGAAACAAATGTCCCCAGCGCTGCTGCTATGGCTGCTGTCACTTCTGCCATGACCCCAGGAAGTTTCTAGAAGTGAGTGTGGTCACTGCTCATGCTCTGCCTGTGTACTGTTTAATATTACCATGCTCTGGCCTAGAAGAAGGGAACCCACCTTTCTTCTCCCTCCCTCTGCCCCAACAACTGTGAGCTCATCATTAGAGTTCAAGAACCCTAAAAGCTGGTCGATCACTAATTTTAAATTATCAAATTGTCTATTTTGGTATTTTCCTTGTAAATTTTTTCAATAAATTATGGCCACAGGTTATCCTGGGTAAAATGCTTGTCCCAATTCCTTGGAATATCATCTGAGGCTAGGAATAGCCACGGTTGTGCATGGATGTGGCATCATGTGCAGATTGTAGAATACCACTGCAAAGCCCAATTTAGACTCCATGGGTGAGATCATTCTACCTTATATAATACATAAAAATGCTCAGGGTATACACACTTTGCAAAATGCTTTGAGGAAACATTGTTATGCAGCATGGTCTCCACTGAACAGTTTTGACAGAACAGGGCACTTAAGAGCAGCTGTTGGCCAGGCGCGGTGGCTCACGCCTGTAATCCCAGCACTTTGGGAGGTCAAGGCGGGTGGATCACCTGAGGTCAGGAGCTCGAGACCAGCCTGGCCAACATGGCAAAACCCCATCTATACTAAAGATACAAAAAATAGCCAGGCATGGTGGCACATGCCTATAATCCCAGCTACTCAGGAGGCTAAGGCAGGAGAACTGCTTGAACCTGGGAGGAGGAGGTTGCAGTGAGTCGAGATTGTACCACTGCACTCCAGCCAGGGTGACAGAGCGACACTACATCTCAAAAAAAGATAAAAATAAAAAAGCACCTGTTACAGGAAAATAAATAACAATAACAATTTAAATCCATCTCTTGATAACTCAGATGACTGCATGTTCATGAAAACACCCTCTTCGATGGTCAGTATGATCTCTCTGAAGCAAATAGAATATTTCTTCAAATGTCTTTTACATGTCCCATTAATTGTTTCAGTATGATTATAGGAGACAGAAACGATGAGGTAATGTTCAGGAAAGCAGACACAAAGAGGCAGAGGAAGTATTCACTGATCAGGGCCACATATGATGCAGAGGAAGGAAGTGCAAAGAGCAAACTGGGACCTGAAGTGGGTTGAAGGAAACTTCTCACAAATTCTGTTATAACTCAATAAAGAATGTGTTTGAGATTTAATTAAAATGAAGCTCAAAAAGACTAATGCATGAATTTAGAATAATTCCAAACCCAACTAGAGAAAGCAGTAAGGGTTTCTACCCATGTACCACCTCTCAAGTGTCTTTTGCATTCTGCTCAAGGAATGCTTTTAATAAAAAAAAAGAATAAAATTAGAAATATTTTCTGATGAGTGATTTTTCCTAGTACCAATTTATGATGAACCTATATTTTTCTTACCAAAACTATGGATATTTTTTTACACACAATAGTTTGCCTTTTCAACACAGAGTTAGTAACCCTAATGAGAAGAAATCACAAGCAGAGGATGAGCTTACTGCTAATAGCAACCCTAGGTGACACCCCCAGGACAGTGTGTCCATAGGGGCTGAGCTACTGTGCTATAACATGCTGAGACCCTCAGCGCTGGGGCAGCAAGGCCAGGGATGGCAGAACTTCATCTGGGCTCCTCAGAGGGCAGCCTGAGGTATGCTATGGGCCACACAGGTAGGGAACCCCAAGATGGCCACTCCTGCCACTTTGCCCAGGTGGGATGCAACAGCCACCTCCCAAGTGCCTACTGCCCATTGTAGACAAGGGTCCTACATTAGTTTCCTGTAGCTATCGTAACAAATTCCCGAAAACTCAGTGACTTAAAAGAAGAAAAGAATTATTTTCTTGCAGTGCTAGAGTACAGAAGTCTGAAATTAAAGTGTCAGCAGGGGTTATGTTCCTTATGGAAGCTCTAGGAGAGTCTTTCTTTGTCTCTTCTAGTTTCTGGAGGCTTTTGGCATTCTTTGACTTGTGGCCTTGTGGCTGCATCACTCCAATCTCTGCCTCCGAGGCTATATCACCTCTTCCACTTCTGCCGAATCTGCTATTACAGACTCAATGTGTGTGCTCCACATTCATACATGTTGAAACCCTAATCCCAATGTAACAGTATATGGAGATAGGGACTTTGGGATGAGTGGAGCCCTTATGAATGAGATTAGTGCCTTTAAAAGAAGAGGCCAGAAACCTACCTTGCTCTTTTTTTAGTCATGTGAGGAAACAGCAAAAAGTTGGCAGCCTACAACCTGGAAGTGGGCTCACACAAGAATCTGACCATGGTGGCACCCCGACCTTAGACTTCCAACCTCCAGAACTGTGAGAAATAATTTCCTATTATTGACAAGCCACCCAGACTATGATATTCTGCTATAATGCCCTGAAGTGTCTAAGCAGTCTTCCCTGTGCATTTCTTATAAATAACTTGTCAGTGGATTTAGAGCCACACAGATAATCCAGGATGATCTCCTCATCTCAAGATCCTTAATTTAATTATATCTGCAAAGTTCCTTTTCCCACGTAAGATAATAGTCACAGATTCTGGTAATTAGGACATGGGCATATTTTGTGAGGGCCACTATTCAACTCACTACAGAGTCCATGAGACTGCCAAGAGAGCTGGTGTCCAAGATGTTCAATAGCTTAAGGTGAGCCTGGTAGGGGAAGGGATGGGGACAGGGAAGGAAGAAGCAGAAAGCTCAGGTGGGTGCTGGGAAAGAGGTAGCTCCAAGTAGTGGCCCCTACATTCTGGCATCACAGATATTGAATATTTCTGTTTTGTCATCCAAGCTGGCTGCATAGTAGCTCCTCTAACACACAGACCTGTCCCCAAATTAAATTGTCATTATTTCAAAATACTTGGCATTAAAAAAAAGTATTGGATTCAAAGATCTATTCTTTTTAGCAAGGGAAATTCTAATTTTACAGTTGTTTTTGAAAAAAAGGCACAAGGTGCTAAATTTTTCAAATACACTTTAACTGTTATGTTAACGGTTTTAATTTTTATAACTTATGCAAAAAAGTGTCTTATCAATGAGGATTGTTAAGACCTTGCAGGAATCATCATTAATAAGACTTGACTAGGAGACTAGGAAGTGTTTAACCATTTCAGGCATGAAAATATGCCAAAGAAAAAAAGGTCAGGAAAGCATACTGAAGTCTCATTTTAAAAACTGCAAAGATTTGACTGTTTCAATATTCAATCTTTTCATTAATATTTGTGTTTATCACAATGATATAGATAAAGTATACATAATATGTTTTTTCAACAGGTCCCATGCAGATGCCTGCAAATCCCTTTTAGTTTACTCCAGTGTGAAAAAGTTAGAACTGTTATATGAAATAAGCATGAAAAATGCTTTTTCTCTTTTCCTCTGATATTAAATTATATATAATATATATAATAGCAGAGGAATATATAACATATATACAATAGCAGAGGAAAAGTGTTTGTGTGTGTTACTACGTATAGCATATATATAAACACAAACATTTTATATATACATAATTTCCATAATATATATTACATATTCAGTGATCAAAATTACTCTTTAGTTAGAAAAGTCAAAGAGGAATATGTGGGAATTGGGGAATGGGAAGAAAGAAGAGAGAAAAGAAAGGAAGTAATTTGGGTTTAAGTAAGGCTGAGAGTGTTAAAAATGAGAAAGTACAAGTGGTTAGAAAAAAAAGGATATTTGCAAAGAAAGTCATGCAGCCAAAAGGGACCCATTATGGAAAGTATTTGGTTTATAGTTTAATGCCTATTCTTCAGTCTACTTATTTGTTAATTTATTTACTCTACTTCGCTCACAAGCTTCCTCTCAAAATTGTACCACTCTCCTCAGGCAGGTGGATAAAGTACGGACAAATAACTAGGAAACAGTCCAAGACTTTATATTGCTTGTCACAGCAGTACCTCTTGTAACAATTTTTTCATGTGTGTATAACAAAAATATGTAGGCCAGTGGTTTCTTCAGACAAAAGTAGTCTTCACATTCCAGAAACTCATGGGGAGGTTGTTGAAAGAACAAGTTGTGCACACAGAAACACACCTGAAGAATCAGCCATTCCCTGGACTGGAACTTTAGCTCTGTTTTGAAATAGCTGAGGTGATGTTGACCTCCCTGGAAAAGACTTAGTCAACCCCAACAAGGTCATTCACCTTGGGAGCACAGGTCAGAGTAGATTTGGCCAATCAGTTCATGGCCATATTCGTATTCAATGTTGTTGGTTCCTCAGGGGATGGGACTTGGGTTTCAACACCCAAGGAAACAGCAAGTGAAGACATCAATTTAAGAAGAAGAGGAAAAAAATATGACTACTAGGACAAATTAAAGACTTGGTTGTGCACAAACAGAATGCCAGGGGTTAGCATAACATGGGGTGGTGAAAGTTGACCAGAGGTGGAGGCCAGAGCCCTGGACACTAGTTTGCACCTACTGCAAGTCACTTTTCATGTCAGATCCTCATTTTTCTCATCTGTAAAGAGAAAATATTTTATGAAACGATTTATGAGGTTTCCTCTCATCTAATTCTACAAATGCTCTGTGAATAGCTTCTGACTGGCTAAAAAGTCTCACTCCGTATAACTTAAGAGAGTGTGACTTTGTTGTGGTATGTCCTTGATCCTGGAGCATTCAGGAAGCTTGAAATATTTTCTCTATGACCCTTCACTCTTTCAGTGATGAAACTTGCCACAACTTGCCACAACACAAACTTGCCATGTGTATAGTATATATACACATGACCCGATCCCTATTTTTATTACCAGGGATTTGGCTCTAACTTTGCCCAACTCTCAGGTGATACTAAACTCTGGAGATTTCCCTGACCTTCACATTTGCTGTAGAGGACTAAACCCTAGTGCTAGATGGAGTTTGGATGCTCACTTTCATTACCTGATCCTTAAAAATTTAGAGCAAATATTTCTGATTTAAGATAAAATTATTAATATGATGTGTTAACATTTGTTTCTGGGGTGTTATTATAGCAATTAATGAGTCATGTAGGAGCTCCAAAATAGCAATTCAGAAATAGATATTACTGAGTAAGCAGTAAAATAAATATCAAAATTCTAATGATTGCCAGCTTTGAGTAAATCATGCCAGTTTAGGAAACAGAAGTGTCTATGATACTGCTGAACTAACTATATACAGCCCCCCAACAATTAAAGCCATATTAATTTGAAAGCAGTCAGTAAATATAAGAAACTTAGTTATAATATATAATATATGAATATATAATATAATATAACTTAGTATATATAAGAAACAATAGATCAGTAGATCTTCACCATGACTGCATGTTAGACCTATCAAGAGAGTTTTTAAAAATTAGCTTCCTCTGTTCCCTTCCCTACCCAATCAATTAAATTGGGCTCTCTGTGATGCGGCCAAGGTGTTAATATTTGTGCTGAGTTCCCTAGGTACCAATAATTTTTCAACAGACAGGGCTGAGAAACATTGCAGTCTATTATTTTTCTGGGGCATTATATGGCACTTCCATAGAGTAAAATTGAAACAAAGAGGTTTGAGTGCAAAGTATGACTCACCCAACTTCTCTTAGCCTCAATTTCCCCAGCTATAAAGAAAGAGACAGTATCTGCTCCACCAAATTGTTGAGAAAGTTAAGTAAGTTATATTTGAAAGTATTTGATACACAATAGATGCTCAAAAGGTATTCATTGAATGTTGAATTCATTTTCTATAACTTTTGTTAGCTTAATGTTAGGTGGCGATGGACAGTGATGATCTCAGTGTTAATATGGTGACCATAGTAAAGAAGGTGCCTGTAAAATATATGTGAAGAGTAAATGTAGACATTGATTTTTCTTCTTATATACAAACATATAGATGAGAAATATGGGATTTTGTTAAGTTTCTTTTATATACTTTAATAACTCATGTTATTAAGTTCATTATATATATGTCTATTTATATATAGCTATTAATTGATCTAGGTATAGATGAGGAATATGGCATGTTATATTCATCTTAAAAATGTGTAAAATCGTGAATTCAAATATAAATAGGAAATAAAACAACAACATGACATTAAAGGGGATCTCATCAGCTAGATATGAGCCTTAAGAGGCAGGAGACCAACATGCCCCTCTGCTCAGCCTCAAGCCTGTCACTACCAAGCCACACCTTGGAGCTCAGCCTAGAGGGTCTCCATCACTCACCTGAAGTTGAATCTAAACTCCCTCTGTAACAGAACGCCAGTCTGGGGAACTCTGAATTGACTACAGGTTCACAGATAGAGATTGCTTAATTGGAAGAAAAGTAAGAAGAAAAATCAATGTCTACATTCATTCTTCACATATTCCTCAATAGATCTATATATCTATTGATTGAGGGGTCATATTTCTACATCTTGTTCATTTGTAACTTGGATATTACATAGTAAAATCTGTTTGATTGCCATCCTTGCCATCTCTTGTAGGACATTTTGGCTCTAATTTTGAAAGCTGGATATTACTTTCTTTCCACTTTCTGTAAACTGAGGCTAGGAAGGAGAAGAAAGGGAATACTCCAATGAAGCCACATACTTCCTTTCTGAAACACTGTTAAAGATACTCTGGCAGGCCCCCCTGCACCCAGCTGGGAGTGTATTCACTCCTTTATCATACAGGTAGGCTTCTGCTATACCCATCTTGGTATGAAGCCCTGGAAATAAGCAAATTCTTACACAGTGGGATCATGCAGCAAGAGTCTATATACTCAAAAGTGTTTACTAAATTTTTCTCTTAACCTTCCAAGGGTACCTCACCATTCCACCTGTCTCCCCATGGAAGATGCGAGTGAGAATGCCATGACTCTGTGACCTCACAATACTAAAAGAATTTTGCTTCTGCAGGATGGGACCACAGCCAGAACTCTATGCCACACCAGAATTTACTTATTCAACACATATTTCTGAGTGTCAACTCTGTGCCAAGTATCATTTTAGTTTTACAGCAGTGAACAAAATACACAATGTGCCTGAACTATGAATATTACTATTGTTGACGTGACAACAATGAATGAATAACAAAACAGATTTATATAAGCCAGGTTGTATAAGTGTTATAGACAAAAATGAAATAAGTGTTTAGCCAGGGTTCTCTAGAGGGACAGAACTAATAGGATAGATGTATATATGAGGGGGAGTTTATTAAAGATTATTGACTCACACAATCACAAGGCCCCACAATAGGCCGTCTGCAGGCTGAGGAACAAGGAAGCCAGTCCGAGTCCCAAAACCTCAAAAGTAAGGAAGTGGACAGTTCAGCCTTCAGTCTGTGGCTGAAGGCCCGAGAGACTGTGGCAAACCACTGGTGTCGGTTCAAGAGGCCAAGAGCTGGAAAACTTGGAGTCTGATGTTTGAGGGCAGGAAGCATCCAGCACAGGAGGAGGATGAAGGCTAGAAGACTCAGCAAGTCTGCTCCTTCCAAGTTCTTCTGCCTGCTTTATTCTAACCATGCTGGCAGCTGATTAGATGGTGCCCACTCAGATTAAAGGTGGGTCTGCCTCTCCCAATCCACTGACTCAAATGTTAGTCTCTGGTAACACCCTCACAGACACACCCAGGAACAATACTTTGCTTCCTTCAGTCTAATTAAGCTGACACTCAATATTAACCATCACAGTAAGCATATCAGAGACTATAGGGTCTGCTGTTTGGGACAGGGTGTTCTGAAAGGACCTCTGGTAAGGTGACTTTTGAGCATAGACCTGAAGAAAATGGAGGAATGAGCCCTGTACATTGTCAGGGAAGAACTGCTCTGGCAGAGGAAATACAGATGGAAAGGGCCTGCACTGGAAAAGTGATCGGCATGTTAGAGGCACAGTGAGGAGGCCAACACAACCGGTGAGGAGTGAATCAGGAGAATAATAGGGGATGAAGTCACAGTATTGGGACCCAGGTCATAGAGAGCCCTGGAAGGCATTTTAAGGACTTGGACTTTGAGGAAAATGAGAAACCATTGGCCAGTTTGGGGTACATGGATGATATTTAACCAGAAGATTCTTTTTCCTCTCTATCAAGTCATCACTTTCCACATTTTATGGAAAGAAGTTTTATCTTTTCTTGTTAAGCTATTGGTGAATTTTTAACTTTGGGGTTTTGTTTCGGATAGGTATTGGGAGAAGGAGAGGCTGTCAACCCATGCCACTATGCTATCTCTAATTCTGCCATCCAGACCGAGTAAGTTTTATTTCCACTGTATTCTGCCGTCCATGGCTTGCAGGAAGGGGTTCACCCCTACTCACCCTACAGGCCACTTCCATGAAGAGCTGTGCCCAGAGGCTCCCTGGGCCCAGCACAACAAGCACATTCACGTATCCCCAGCCTCAAATGAGCCTCATTTACAGTCCAGCAGTGTGTGCCTGCACGGTAGTTCTTTATGTTTCCTTTTCAATAAATATATGACTCATACCAGTATTGTCCTTTGTTTAGCTTTCATCTTTCTCAGAGTTTGAAGTGTTTGTAAGAAATAGTTGTAGATTTATTTTTAAAGCCTTGCTACCTTAAATCAAGAATTTTTTTTTTTTTTTTTTTTTGAGACGGAGTCTTGCTCTGTCGCCCAGGCTGGAGGGCAGTGGTGCCATCTCGGCTCACTGCAAGCACCGCCTCCTGGGTTCATGCCATTCTCCTGCCTCAGCCTCTGAGGTAGCTGGGACCACAGGTGCCTGCCACCACGCCCAGCTAATTTTTTTTTTTTTTATATTTTTAGTAGAGACGGGGTTTCACCATGTTAGCCAGGCTGGTCTCAATCTGCTGACCTTGTGATCCACCCACCTCAGCCTCCCAAAGGGCTGGGATTACAGGCGTGAGCCACCGCGCCTGGCCAAATCAGGAAATTTTAAAAGCATAACATGCCACTGTATTTCTTTTTCTTATGAAAAGCAATAATGCTAAATTTACAGGCATAATGTTGTATTGGCATTAAAGATGGCTATCAATCCATTAAAATAATCAATATGTTATTTCTTGACCTCCTGGCCTCATGATCCACCTGCCTCGGCCTCCCAAAGTGCTGGGATTACAGGCGTGAGCCACCGTGCCCAGCCAAAATAATCAATATGTTATTTCTGATGCTGAATGTATACACAAAAGTTTTCAACTATCTGAAAAAGAGGATCTTCTGATAAATATTCATCATATCCTAATTTTTAAAATTAGAGTACTTCAAATTTAGATGTTATGTTAAAAAAAAAAAACTCCAAATTCTCACACGTGAAACCTGATCTTGGTTCTGATGTTTACTTTTTTTGAAGTAAGTAGAAATAATTGAGTACAGAAGAAACAATTAGCTAGATTTGTTAAAATCTGGTTAAATATTGTTTTAATTATCACAGAAGATGTAAAGAACATGTAATTTTATGGATTATTTATAGAATAGTGGGCAAAACCAATTAGGTATTAAGAAGTGAACCTTGAATTTATGCATTTTTGTAACAGAACTTCTAGCTGTACTAAATACAAACTGAATTTTTGGAGTTAAAAAACTCTTTCATTACGCTTAAGATATATTATTTATCATATTAATAAGCTTCTCACATCATACATTGTGTATTGTTATTGTGGTTATTTTTGTCAACAATTTTTATCAAATGAGTTCTAATTTTTGGTGGAGAAATTTTGGCAACTACACAAAGAATGTACCAAATATCACTTCTGCAAACTACACATATGAACTTTTCAAAATCCATAAATTACTCTTCTCTGGTTTGGCTGAAGTTAGAGAAGCATTGTTAAATAATATTTACTGAACACTTTTTCTAAAAAAAATTGTGTGTTTTCATAATGTGTTTTGATTTAAAAGAAAGTTGTTATTATTAGTGAAAACATTTTTTGTAATGAGCCAATAAAGTCCTCAAAATTAAAATGAATCATACTATGGAAGACCTACATTTGATACACTTTTTTTTCTCTGAGCAGGCAAACGTACTTAAGACCTTTGTGTAAGATCAGAAAATCATAAGACAGCATTAAAAAGTACTATACAGGAGGAGATGGAACAAGATGGCCAAATAGAAGCCTCCAGCAATCATCTCCCCGAAAGGAATTGAACAACTATCAAAACAAAATTGAACAACTATCTAAACAAAAAAGTACCTTCATAAAAAACAAAAATCAGGTGAGTGATCACAGTACCTGCTTTTAACATCATTTTTTAAAATACTTTAAGTTCTAGGGTACATGTGCACAACGTGCAGGTTTGTTACTTATGCATACATGTGCCATGTTGGTGTGCTGCACCCATTAACTCGACTTTTACATTAGGTATATCTCCTAATGCTATTCCCTCCCCCCTCCCCCCACCCCACAACAGGCCCTGGTGTGTGATGTTCCCCACCCTGCATCCAAGTGTTCTCATTATTCAATTCCCACCTATGAGTGAGAACATGCGGTGTTTGGTTTTTTGTCCTTGCGATAGTTTGCTGAGAATGATGGTTTCCAGCTTCATCCATGTCCCTACAAAGGACATGAAATCATCCTTTTTTATGGCTGCATAGTATTCCATGGCATATATGTGCCACATTTTCTTAATCCAGTCTATCATTGTTGGACATTTGGGTTGGTTCCAAGTCTTTGCTATTGTGAATAGTGCCGCAATAAACATACGTGTGCATGTGTCTTCATAGTAGCATGATTTATAATCCTTTGGGTATATACCCAGTAATGGGACGGCTGGGTCAAATGGTATTTCTAGTTCTAGATCCTTGAGGAATAGCCACACTGTCTTCCCACAATGGTTGAACTAGTTTACAGTCCCACCAACAGTGTAAAAGTGTTCCTATTTCTCCACATCATATTAAGGAAAGAGGCACTGAAGAGGATAGGAAAGGCAGACTTGAATTGCCTACACCACTCTTCCCCCATCCCCAGACAGCAGCCCCTCATGATGCAGAGAGAGAATCTGTATGCTTGAGGGTGGGACAGTGCAGTGACTGTGGAATTTTGCATTGGAATTCAGTGCTGCTCTGTCACAGCAGAAAGCAACAAAGGCCAGAACTCAGCCAGTACCCATAGAGGGAGCATTTCAACCAACCCTAGCTAGAGGGAAATAGCCCATCCCAGTGACAGAACTTGAGTTTTGGCAAGTCTTGCCAACACAGGCTAAAGTGCTCTGGGGTTCTAAATAAACTTGAAATGAATGGCAGTCCAGGCCACAAGGACTGCAATTTCTGGGCAACTCCTGGTGCTGTGCTGGGCTTGAAACCAATGGGCTTGGGGTGCACACAACTTAGTGAGACATCAGCTGGGGTGGCCTAAGGAGTTCTTGTGTCACCCTTCCCAAACTCTAGGCAGTGAAGCTTGCAACTTCAGGAGAGAACCATTCCTTCCACTTGAGAGGAGAAGGGAGAGTAAAGAGTACTTTGTCTTACAACTTGGATACCACCTTAGCCACAGCAGGATAGAGCACAGAGCAGAGTCCCAGGCTCCCATTCCAGGCTCTAGCTCCCAGATGACATTTCTATACATACCCTGGGTCAGAGGAGAACCCATCACCTTGAAGGGAAGGACCTAGTTCTGGCAAGATTTATCACCTGCTGACTAAGGAACCCTTGGTCCCTGAACAATCAGCAGTGGTAGCCAGGCAGTACTTACCATGGGTTTGGGGTGAGATTCAGAGCCACGACCCAGTACATTCCCAGCTTTTGTGACTATGAGGAGAAACTCTTCTACTTGAAGAAAAGAGAGGGCAGAATAAACAAGACTTTGTCTTGTAGTTTGGGCACCAGCTCAGCCACAGTGGCGTAGAGCAGCAAGCATATCCTTGTGGTCCCTGATTCCAGGCCTTGGCTCTTAGGTGACATATCTGAACCTGCCATTGGCCAGAGGGGAGCTGACTGCCCTGAAGCAAGAGTCCCAGGCCTGGCAGCATTTACCATAACTGACTGAAGAGTGCTTGGATCTTGAGTGAACATGAGCAGTAGCAAGGCAGTTCTCACTGTGGACCTAGGGCAGTGGTAGCCATGAGGAGAGACTCCTCTGCTTGTGGAAAGAGAAGAGAAGAGTGGGAAGAATTTTGTCTTGTGGCTTGGGTGCCAGCTCAGCCACAGTAGAATAGAGCACCAGGTATATTTCTAAGGTTTCCAACTCCAGGCCCTGGCTGCTAGACAGAATCTCTGGACTTGCACAGGGCCAGGGGGAACTCACCACCCTGAGAAGGACACAGTCTGTCTGGCTTTGCCACTTACTGATTTTAGAGCCCTAGAGCCTTGAGCAAACATAGGTGGTAGCCAGGCAGTTTCACAGCTGACTCTGAGTGAAACCCAATGCTGTGCCGGCTTCAGGTCTGAAGCACTGTCCTAGTGGTGGTGGGTACAGGGTTGTTTGTGTCACCCCTCCTCTAGTTCCAAGAAACTCAGCACACACAGAGAGAGAGAGAGAGGGAGAGAGAGAGAGAGGGAGAGAGAGAGACTCCATTTGTTTGGGAGAAAGTAAGGGAGGAGAACAAGAGTCTCTGTCAGGTAATCCAGAGAATTATTTTGGATTTTATTCTAGACTATCAAGGCAATACCTCTATGAGTCTGCAAGAGCCACAGCATTACTGGGCTTGGGGTGGCTCCTAATGCAGATATGGCTACAGTAACCAAAAACTTAGATTACAACACTGAAGTTTCTTCAAA
The DNA here is from genome assembly GCF_000001405.40 of Homo sapiens. Taxonomy (NCBI): domain Eukaryota; kingdom Metazoa; phylum Chordata; class Mammalia; order Primates; family Hominidae; genus Homo; species Homo sapiens. The sequence goes on from NC_000007.14 coordinate 116,292,551, forward strand.
TGCCTGAAAAGCCTTTCCAAGAAGGACAGGTACAAACAAGCCAAGACTGCAAAAACTGCAATAAATACCTTATCCTAACTCTTCAATGCCCAGACACTGACAAACTTCAAGGAAAATGACCTCACCAAATGAACTAAATAAGGCACAGGGGTCAATCCTGGGGACACAGAGATACGTGACCTTTCAGACAGAGAATTCAAAATAGCTGTTTTGAAGAAATGCAACAAAATTCAAGTTAAAACAGAGAAAGAATTCAGAATCCTATCAGATAAATCTAATAAACAGATTGAAATAATTTAAAAGAATCAAGCAGAAGTTCTGGAGTTGAAAAATACAAGTGACATACTGAAGAATACATCGAAGTCTCTTAACAAAATTGATTAAGCAGAAGAAAAAATTAGTGAACCTGAAGACAAGCTATTTAAAAATACACAATCAAAGGAGACAAAAGAAACAAGAATTTTAAAAAAGAAGCATGCACAACACCTAGAAAATAGCCTCAAATGGCAAACCTAAGAGTTATTGGCCTTAAAGAGGAGGTGGAGAGAGAAAGATAGGGGTAAAATGTTTATTCAAAGGGATAATAGCAAAGAACTTCTCAAACCTATATAAACGTATCAATATTCAAGTACAAGTTTAACCCAAATAAGATTATCTCAAGACATTTAACAGTCAAACTCCCAAAGGTCAAGGATAAAGAAGGGATCCTAAAAGCAGCAAGACAAAAGAAATAAATAACAAACAATGGAGTTCCAACACATCTAGCAGCATACTTTTCAGTGGAAACCCTACAGGCAAGCAGGAGAGTTGCAGGACATATTTAAAGTGTTGAAGGATAAAGATGATAACCTTTGAATAATATACCTGGTGAAAATATCCTTCAGACATGGAGGAGAGATAAAGACACCCAGACAAACAAAAGCTTAGGAATTTCATCAACACCAGACCTATCCTACAAGAAATAGTAAAGGGAATTCTTTAATCTGAAAGAAAAGGACATAAATGAGTAATAAATACTCTGAAAGCACCAAACTCACTGGTAATAGTAAGCACACAGAAAAACACAGAATATTATAATACTGTAATCACGGTGTGTGAACTACTCATATCGAGTAGAAGGATTAAAAGATAAACCTATAAAAAATAACTATAACCATGTTTCAAGATATAGACGGTATTATAAGATATAAATAGAAAAAACAAAAAGTTTAAAAGCAGGGAGATGAAGTTAAAATATGGAGTATTTATTAGTTTTCTCTTTGCTTGTTGTTTGATTATGCAATCAGTGTTAAGTTGTCATTAGTCTAAAATAATGAATTACAAGATGGTATTTGCAAGCCTCATAGTAATCTCAAATAAAAACCATGCAAAAGATACACAAAAAATAAAAAGCAAGAAATTAAAATGTACCACCAGAGAAAATCTCCATCACTAAAAGGAAGACAGGAAGGAATAAAAGAAGGAAGAGAAGACTATGAAACAACCAGAAAACAACAAAATCAAAGGAGTAAGTCCTTACCAATAATCACATTGAATGTGAATGGACTAAACTCTCCAATCAAAAGATACAGAATGGCTGAATAGAGTTTTTAAAAAGACTCAATGATACTATAAGAAACACACTTCACCTATAAAGACAACTATAGACTGAAAATGAAGGGATGGAAAAGATATTCCATGCCAATAGAAACAAAAAAAGAACAACATTTACTATATTTGTATCAGACAAAATAGGTTTTCCTGACTGTATTAGTCTGTTCTCATGCTGCTAATAAAGACATACCTGAAACTGGGTAATTTATAAAGAAAAGAGGTTTAATTGACTCAAAGTTCCAAATGGCTGGCCTCACAATTATGGCTGAAGGTGAGTGAGGAACAAAGTCATGTCTTACATGGCGGCAGGCAAGAGGGCATGTTCAGGAGAACTCCCCTTTGTAAAACCATCAGATCTCATGAAACTTATTCACTATCACAAGAATAGCACAAGAAAGACCCACCCCTATGATTCAATTGCCTCCCACCAGGACCCTCCCATGACACAAGGGAATGATGGAAGCTACAATTCAAGATGAGCTTTGGGTGAGGACACAGCCAAACAATATCACTGACAAAAACCATAAAAAGAGTAAAAGAAGGTCATTATATAATGATAAAGGGGTCAATTCATCAAGAAGATAGAGCAATTATATATGATACAGCACTTGTAAATATATATGCACCTAAAAATATATGCATCCAGATATAAAAAGCAAATACTATCAGAGATAAAGAGAGAGAGAGAAAATGCAATATAATAATAGCTGGTGATTTAACACCCCACTTTCAGCATTGACAGATCATCCAGACAGAAAATTAACAGAGAAACTATGGACTTAATTTGCACTATAGAACAAATGGACCTAGTGGATATCTACAGAACACTTCATCCAATGGCTGCAGAATACACATTCTCCTCAGCACATAGATCATTATCAGGGATAGACCACATGTTAGGTCACAAAACAAGTCTTAAAACATTAAAAAATTACAATAATATCAAGCATCTTCTCTGAGCACAATGGAATAAAACTAGAAATCAATAACAAGAGGAATTTTGGAAATGATACAGATATGTGGAAATTAAACAATATGCTCCTGAATGACCAGTGCATTAATTAATAAATTAAAAATGAAATTTAAAATTTCTTGAAACAAATGGCAATGGAACCACAATATAACAAAACCTTGGGATACAGCAAAAGTTGTGCTAAGAGGAAACTTTATAGCTATACATGTCTACATCAAAAAAGTAGAAAAAACTTCAAATAAACAGCCTAACAATGCATCTTAAAGAACTAGAAAAGCAAGACCAAATCAAACCCAAGATTAGTAGAAGAAAAGAAATAATAAAGATCAGAGCAGAGATAAATGAAAAAAAGTACAAAACACCAATGAAATGAAAAGTTGGTTGTTAGAAAAGATAAAATTGACAAATCTTTAGCCAGACTAACTAAGAAAAATAGAGAGAAGACCCAAATAAATAAAATGAGAAGAAAAAAGAAGACATTACAACTGATGTCACAGAAATTCAAAGGATCATTAGAGGCTACTATGAGCAATTATATGCCAATAAATTGAAAACCTAGAAGAAAATGATAAATTCCTAGACACATACATCTTACCAAGATTGATCTATGAAGAAATTCAAAACCTGAATTGACTAATACAAGTAACAAGATTGAAGCCACAATAATATGCCTCCCAGCAAAGAAAAGCCTGGGACCTGATGGCTTTACTGCTGAATTTTACCAAACATTTAAAGAAGAAATAATACCAACCCTATTGAAACTATTCCAATAAATAGAGGAGGAGGAGATACTTCCAAACTCTTTCTACAAGGCCAGTATTAGTCTATTTTCATACTGCTATAAGAAATACTGAAGATTGGGTAATTTATAAAGAAAAAGAGGTTTAAAGAACTCACAGTTCCACATGACTGGGGAGGCCTCACAATCATGGCAGAAGGCAAAGGAGGAGCAAAGTCATGTCTTACATGGCAGCAGGCAAGAGAGTGTGTGCAGGGAACCTGCCCTTTATAAAACCATCAGGTCTCATGAGATTTATTCACTATGATGAGAATAGCACAGTAAAAACCTGCCCCCATGATTCAATTACCTCCCACTCAGTCCTTCCCACAACAAGTTGGGATAATGGGAGCTACAATTCAAGATGAGATTTGGGTGGGGACACAGCCAAACTATATCAATTGCACTCATACCAAAACTAGGTAAAGACATACCAAGACAAACAACAACAAAAAAACTACATGCCAATATCCTTGATGAACATTGATGTGAAAATCCTCAGTAAAATACTAGCATACCAAATTCAATAACACATTTAAAAAATCATTTTTTATGACCAAGTGGGATTTATCCCTGGGATGCAAGTATGGTTCAACATACACAAATCCATCAATGTGATACATCATCTCAACAGAATGAAGGACAAAAAATCATATGATCATTTTAACTGATGCACAAAAAGCATTTGATAAAATTCAACATCCCTTCATGATTTAAAAAAACTCTCAAAAAAGTGGTTATAGAAGGAACATATGTCAACCCAACAAAAGCCATATGCACAATATCCGCAGCTAGTCTTATACTGAATGGGGAAATACTGAAAGCCTTTCCTCTAAGATCTGCAACACAAAGATGCCCACTTTCACCACTGTTATTCAGCATAGTACTGGAAGTCCTAGCTAGAACAATTAGAGAAGACAAAGAAATAAAGAGTGTTTACATTGAAAAGGAAGAAGTCAAATTATCCTTATTTGCAGATGATATGATCTTATATTTGGAAAAAGAAATGAAAGACTCCACAAGAAAACTATTGGAACTGATAAACAAATTCATTAAAGTTGCAAGATACAAAAACAACATACAAAAATCAGTAACATTTCTAGATGCTAACACTGACCAATCTGAAAAAGAAATCAAGAAAGCAATCCCACTTACAGTAACCACAAATAAAATTAAATACCTAGGAATTAACCAAAGAACTGAAAGATTTCTATATTGAAAACTATAAAACATTGATGCAAGAAATTGAAGAGGACACAAAAAATGTGAAGATGTTTCATGTTCATGGATTGGAAGAATCAGTATTGCCAAAATGTCCACACTACCCAAAACGATCTAAAGATTCAGTGCAATCTCTATCAAAATACCAATGGCATTCTTCACAGAGATAGAATAAACAATCCCAAAATTTATATAAAACCACAAAAGACCCAGAATAGCCATAGCTATCCTAAGCAAAAAGAACAAAATTGGAGGAATCATATTACCTGATTTCAAATTATACTACAGAGCTACAGTAACCAAAACAGCATGATACTGGCATAAAAACAGACACATAGATCAATGGAAAAGAATAGAGAACTTACAGATAAATACATGTATGTTCAGTGAACTCATTTTCAACAAAGGTGCCAAGAACATGAATTGGAGAAAAGACAGTCTGTTCAATGTATGTGCTGGGAAACCTGGATATCCATATGCAGAAGAATGATACTGAACCCTAAATCTAAGATTTCAAAATGTGAAATTACTAGAAGAAAACATTGAGAAAACTCTCCAGAACATTGGTCTGGGTAATGATTTCTTAAGTAATATTCCACAAGCACAGGCAATCAAAGCAAAAATGGACAAATGGTATCACATCAAGGTAAAAAGCTTCTGCACAGCAAAGGAAACAATCAACAAAGTGAAGAGAGAATCCACAGAATGGGAGAAAATATTTGCAAACTATCCCTCTGACAAGGGATTAATAAACAGAACAGATAAGGAGCTCAAACAACTCTATGGGAAAAATAGAATAATTTAGTTAAAAAGTAGTCAAAATATCTCGGTAGACATTTCTCAAAAGAAGACATACAAATGGCAAACAGGTATATGAAAATGTGCTCAACACCACTGATTATCAGAGAGATGAAAATCAAAACTACTGTGAGATATCATCTCACCTCAATTATAATGGTTTTCATTCAAAGACAGGCAATAATGGATGCTGGTGAGGATATGCAGAAAGGGGAATGCTTGCACCCTGTTGGTGGGAATGTAAATTAGTAAAAGCACTATGGAGAACAATTTAGAGGTGCCTCAGAAACTAAAAATAGAACTGCCATATGATCCAGCTGATATGGTTTGGCTGTGTTCCCATCCAAATCTCATCTTGAATTGTAGCTCCCATAATTCCCTTGTGTTGTGGAAGGGACCAGTGGGAGATAATTGAATCATGGGGGTGGTTTCCCCTACACTGTTCTTGTGGCAGTAAATAAGTCTCACAAGATCTGATGGTTTTATAAGGAGAAACCCTTTTTCTTGGCTCTCATTCGCTTCTCTTGTCTGCTGCCATGTGAGACTGCTTTTTGCCTTCTGCCATGATTGTGAGGCCTCCCCAGCCACGTGAAACCGTGAGTTCATTAAACCTCTTTTTCTTTTGCAAGTTGCCCAGTCTCGAGTATGTCTATATTAGCAGTGTGAAAACGGACTAATAGACAAGTAATCCCATTTCTAGGTATATACCCAAAAGAAAGCAAGTTAGTATATAGAAGAGATATCTACACCCTCATGTTAATTGCAGCACTATTCACAATGGCCAAGATTTGGAAGCAACCTAAGTGTCCATCAACAGATGAATGGATAAAGAAAAGGTTGTACTTATACATAGTGGAGTACTATTCAGCCATCAAAAAGAATGAGCTCCTGTCATTTGCAACAATATGGATGGATCTGGAAGACATTATGTTAAGTGAAATAAGCCAGGCACGGAAAGACAGCCTTCACATGTTCTCCCTTATTTGTGGTAGCTAAAAATTAAAACCATTGAACTCATGGAGATGGAGAGTAGAATGACGGTTACTTGAGTCTGGGAAGGGTAGTGATAGGGCTGGAGGGAAGTGGGGATGGTTAATGACCATAAAAATATAGTAGATAAAATGAATAAGAGCTAGTATCTGATGGCACAATGGGGTGACTACCATCAGCAATAATTTGTTGTACATTTCAAAATAACCAAAGAGTATAATTGAATTGTTTATAATACAAAGAATGATAAATGTTTGAAGTGATGATTACTGCATTTACCCTGATGTGATTATTACACAATGTATGCCTGTATCAAAATATCTCATGTACCCCGTAAATATATGCACCGACTTTATACCTACAATATTTTTCTAATGTACCCTATTCTAAAAAAAATACTATGCAAAGCAAAAATGTAAAACAAAAATGAAGGACAGCCAGTATTTCTACCTGTATCCTGTCTCTATTTTAAATAAAACCACAAGAAAAAAGATATAACCACAGGAAATCAATCAATATTCACATAACTTATTATTAGTTGAAGTCTCTACCAGGAAGTATTGCAAACATTTCCATGATAAATTTTGTCATGTTTCTCATGGCTCATAAATTTCCCTTTCTATTTAAAAATTCCACCGTTTCATATACATTTAAGTATAAAGTAAGCCAATTATAGTGAAGTTATAAATCTATTGTACTAGCTATAGATACAGAAATATGCACTAGGTTCACCAAGTCATGAACGGGAAATGTCTAATAAAATAATTCAAAATAGTGACATATCTCCTGCTAGTTTCTTCTAACTTTCAGCTCAGTCTTGTCTGAAACAGTATTCACATATAAATAGGCTAATGGATGCTTCATTACACTATTCCCTAAAGTGCCTAAGTCTCAAATCTGATTCCTAGTTGGAAAACAAAGCAAATCCTCAAGAGAGGCAAGGCCTACTGACTCAATATTTATTCATGATTCCTACTTTTATCTGATTTCCAGTTATTGAATACAAATGTACTCTCAGCTTCTGTATTTCTTATATATATTATTCTCCTTTTTATATTTTAGGATAATGCTTATATTGTTTTTATTGTTTTTGTTTAATAATAAAATTTTAATGTATTCAGTATATCTTTAGTTACAACTTTAACACCATTCCATAGACCTTTATAGGTAGTGATTTTATTAATATTCTTTTCTGGGTAATTGCTAATTTTTATTTCCTGTTTGTCCCTACTGTTACTGAGAATAATCATTTTCAGTGTTTGAGTGATTCATCTTTTCTAATATTTCTTTATAATGACTTTGTATGTTTTCTGCATTGTTGTCAGAGATTGCAGCCCTTACAGTGTCTTATAAGTTTGACAGATGCAATATTTGTTCTCTGTCCATAGGGCACAAAGTCTGATTTAGTTTTTTAAACTAACATAATCATCTTATTCATATCCCATATATTATTACATAATATCACTTAAAGTCTCAATTTCAGTTGAGTCCTAAATACCTTTCTTAAGGCTAAGAGCAATGGCTTAGGTGCCAAGCATCATCCTTAAATGGCAATTCGAGGGGCTGGATGGCCTAGATGATAAATATGAGGAGAATATAAAGCCAGTTCTTCCAACATCAGCAGGTCACTCTGGATTGGATTTGCTGCAAATTAATGAAGATTAATCTTCAGGGCCTCTTCTCTTGCACAGGGCCCTTTCTAGACAATAAATAATGTTAATTAAAAGAGTATTTAATATTACTGAACCAGAAAACTTGAAACATCCTGAGATTTTATAACTCAAATATGAAAAAAACTTAATAGTAATTTTTGCATGTTACAATAATTTGTAAGAATAAGAATCCCAAAAATTTATATGGCAGTTCCAATAGAGATGTATAAAGGTAGAAACAACTTCTAAACTAATAAAAAATGTAATAAACCATGCCAGAGCAAAAATTGAAATACCTTCCTATTACGTGTATTGAAAAATCACATTTCTTGCACATGTACCTCTGAACCTAAAACAAAAGTTGAAGAAAATCATATTTCTAAATCACTGGAATATGAAGAGGAGATCAATGAATAGACGGCCAAAAGTTATATGGCTTTAGAGGTATGTCAGGCAGTTAATAAAAATATATATTTTTTATTTTGTGAGATTTATAGTATTTGTGAGATTTTCAAAATTTGTAACTAGTTCTGATTTCTTTTTATCTTTTATTTTTTTGAGATGAGTCTTGCTCTGTCACCCAGGCTGGAGTGCAGTGGCTTAATCTCGGCTCACCGCAACCTCCACCTCCCGATTTCAAGCAATTATCTGCCTCAGCCTCCCAAGTGGCTGGGATTACAGGTGCCCACCACCACACCCGGCTAGGCTAATTTTTTTGTATTTTTAGTAGAGATGGGGTTTCACCATCTTGGCCAGGATGGTCTTGAACTCCTGACCTCATGATCCACCCACCTCGGCCTCCCAAAGTGCTGGGATTAGAGGTGTGAACCACCACGCCCAGCCTCTTTTTATCTTCTAAATAAGAATTCACATTCATTCTTAATTTTTATTTGTTACTTTGGATTTTTTTTAAGGCTTCTCCAAAACTGTATCAGCCTCATGCCCCTCAAAAGATAGGCAATTCCCTAGTGGTCACGTACTTTCAATGGCAAAAGATGATGTGTGGAAGAGTTGAAAAAGAAGATGCATTTGTATCCCCTCACCTCAAGCCAAATGACTACAAGTTTCATGGACACAGAAGCTGAGGAAACTGTTAAATCACTGTGTGTCCCCACCTCCCTTTATTTACTGCCAACTATGAGGAAGGGTTTCTCCATCACCTCAGCCAGGTGAGAAGGGCTATGAGAGAATCATAGCAAGACATCAGCATGTCCCCTGGAGAAATTGGTGCCTGACACTTCCTTCAAGATTTCTAAAGACTGGAGTTGTCTCTTTTTAGAAGTAAAGGGAAATCAGAGTGCTTGGGCACAAACTGCTCTTCCACGGAATAGGGCAAGGATGCCTGAGTTTCTCAAGAGTCAAGTTGTTCCCAGAAAGGGGACATACTTGGGAAATTTTAAGATTCCCCACTCAAGGGAACTACCTGGAGAGGCAAAAAGACCCCACAAGAGAGAAGCTGTATTGGGTGACCCCACCTCCTGCCTGGTTTCTGAGGAAGGAGAGAAAGTTTTCATTTAAATGAAATTTGGAGTTCTGATTATTGCATTGGACTGGATGTTTTAATTATTGAATTGTGATTGCTCTTGTGGCTCTGTGACCTGCCTGAGATATCATTCAACACTGAGGAAAGATCTAACTGAGTTTGAAGGGAGTAAGAGAAAAGAATAAAGTTGCTTTATAGTGTGTACCCTAATGAGCCCTAATTATTCAAGAACAGTTACACTCCATTTACCTTTCACCTTCATAATTTACCAGAGACTTAGATATTTATGTTAAAGCCTCCCTATTGTTTTTCTTCAGAGCTTCTTTTCTATTTTAACGAATATTTTTAAAAATTATTTTAAGGCTACATTACATAGTACATAAAGGCTTATTATGTTTTAACCTCAACAAACATATAGACATAAATAGTGTCTACTTCTTTCTTTTTCTTTAGCATTGACCTAACTAAATTCAGCTTTGAGAGAAGAAGATGTAGTCTGAGTAATTTCTGTGGTTTGGAATTGTTTTAATTTTTTGTTGTCTTAAAAAATGATTTTAGACAAAAGTGATTCATGGCATTTGAAAGAAATATATATTCACTGTTTAAAGAAGGCAAGTTTTTCTATATCTACATCTATATTATGCATATCTACAGCCAGATATAAAGCAAAATTATTTTTTCTCAAAAAAATCAATCAGAAAAAAGAAAGTACCTTCCTTATATTTGAAACCCATAGCAAGTTCCAAGAGGAGAAAAGGACAGAGTATAAAATTCTTCATTATGCTGAGCAGTGGACCTGATTTTCTCCAGGTCTTTAAGCCTATTTATGTATCCAAAAAAGGATGGAGATGACAGAGTTCCTCAATGTGATGACTCTATATGCTCTCCCCAGAGCTCTTGCAACATGACAGAACTTTGCTAAGCCCATATTAGACTAGGAATGTGATCAACAAGGCAAAGATTTCGGGGAGAGGTCAAAAATTATTTCGGATATACTGGAGAACCAGAGTGGGGAGAAAACAGAATGGCACTCCCAAGCTGGCCAAATTTATGCAAGCTAAAAATGCTTATTATCCTTCCGGCCAGCAGTTCCATTTATTAAGGTCTATCTTTAAAAAAAACATTGTACATCTACATAAAAAACCATGAACAAGAATTTTCAGGGAGCATTATTTTAAGAGCAAAAAAAAGGCAATCATCTAAATGCTCACCAACAGAAAGCTAACTAAATTATGCTACACCCATACCATGAAATACTGTAAGTAAAATTTATATACTGACATGTGAGATGCATAAGACCCTACAAAAATGTTTAAATGAGGTTGCAAAAATGTATAAAGTCTGATCACATTTGTGAAAATATGTTTGTGTATGGTTTTGAACAAATGCCTAGGAAAGGTTTTGGAGGGATGTAAAACAAAGCTCTTCATGCTATACTTTTGGGAGGCAAATGGGGCTAGGGAGAGTGTGCTGAAGCGATGCTGAAGATAAACTTCTCAACTGATTAAACTTTACAATGAGAATATGTTCATGTATTAATTACATAAAAGATTATAATAGGAATATGGAAATCATCCCTTTACAACTTGGAAGTTTGGATTTTTGTAACCCACAGAGCAAGCAAATGAAGCTGAATTCAATATGGATTATAAAGCTTTAGAATTTTGCATTTCCATTTTATCATATAATACTAAAAAAATTGACTTTCATTGCCACTAAAAATTTTATAGTAAAAAAGTTCTTACCCATTGACAAAGGTGCTAGATTATAAATGCTACTAATAAATAAAGAAATCATTGGGTCGACATCCATAAATCGTAAGCATTTATTAAATATAGGATACATTTCTGGTACTATATTACACACAAATATCACAAAGCATCTTGGAACTCAAGAAGGTAGAATGTAGTTACATTGTATCTGGTCTAATCAAAGAGATTCTAACAAATTACCAGATATGTTTACTTTCAATATTATCATAGTTGACTGCTTGAATAAATGACAGTTAACTTCTGTTGTATTTGCCAGTCTGTATATCCATAATAAAATACAAAATGCTAATAAAAATATTACATTGAATAGATAATATTGTCACTATTTCAAAACATGAGGAGCTGACAGTAAAAGACTTTGCTTACGGCCACTAGGCAAATAAATGTCAGAATCAGAATGTAATTCTGTTTCTAATGGGGCTACATATTTTATATCTTTCCATTCTTTCAAAATACCTCCTCCCTACCCATGTGGCAATTTAGAAAGGATTGCAAGAAAATACAATGGAGTGCTCCTCTCCACTTTATTTTTTTAAGTTTTAGAGCTGAAATAGTTAAGTTTCAAGAACTGTTAAATTTTCTAGCCCAGAGCATTGCATTGCTCATAAATATTAGAAATCAATTACTGTAAAATGGCCTATTACATGTATTTTAATTCATTTTTAAAAACAATTCAGATTTAGTCTTTTCTGGCCTTTTCCTGTTTTTAAGAAGTCTTGCAGAAAAAAATGTATTATTTATACTTTCTGAAATTTTTCCAGCTTAAGGTTTAACAAGTATTATTTGAAAGAGGCCAATACTCCTGAGTAGTTCAGATATTTGAGCTTTAACATTAATTATGCCCTTTAGTTGGATTGCTTCTATTTTAGGTTATAGTTGAAGTCGTAGACAATGGTATTGTTGATGGGGGCATAGGGTTGTTGGTTAGAGGAATAAGAAAAGGTAAAATGATTGAAAAACCGGTAATTTCAGAGCATAGACACTGTGAAAGAGCTGATACAGATGTCTGTCATCAGCCATAGGAGGCTGGGGGTCAGGAAGTATCAGGAAACAGGAAAGATGTAAAGAAATGACAGTGAAAGTGAACTTGATTATAAAAATAATATTGATAACACCATTATTAGAAATGTCACTACCAATAATGATTGGCATTTATAGTGTGCTTTACCAAGTGCCAGGCACTGATAAGCACTTTACATATGTTATTTCACTTAATCCTTACAGAAACCTTACAATATATTTTTATGCCCATTCTATAGATGAAGAAATGGTGGCTTAGAGATGTTGAGCAACTTGACCAGTTTACACATTAGTAAGTACTCTGATCCATCCAGAATAATTTTTAATATTTCTAGGAGGATCAGATCTCATATACAATGTGGAAATTCTCCAAGTTAATTCCATGAAATGTGGATTTATTTTGTGCTCAGAAATATAAGTAGAAACCTATAGCTAGATTTCCATTCCATGGCCGAAATTTTATTTTCTTCCAAGTGCCCTTCAAGAGGACTTAGAGCACAAAGGAAAAAATGATCTGTGAAAGTCAAGGAAAAGCTGACAATTGAAACCATGATTCCTAATCTAATGCCTTTCCATTGCTTTGCATTTCATATGAACATCTCTCTGTGTGTCTCTCTCTTCTCTCTGTCTCTCTCTCTCTCTCTCTCCCTTTCTCTCTCTTCTCCCTACACCCCTTCCTCTTATTTTTCCTTGCTTTGAAGATTAAGATTCTCCATCTCAGTCCCTCTGCTTCCCTCACTATTTTAGTTTTCATGTGGTTTGGGCCCACTATGGCTTTGATTTCAGCTTGGACTCTACATGACCTCATTGTGAGCTCATCACTGTTACCTGACATAGGTGTGTCAATGTCAAATTCCCAAGATCCTGCATTCCGATGAACCTGAATTGCATCACTTTTCCACTTCTGGTGCAATTGGTTGTTGTCATGGCCCCTATAATAATGGAGCTGCCTCCTTTGAGGGCTTGTAATTGGGATGTTTTTGCTAAGAAAAGAGCATGAACGGGGAAGAAATAATTTGTATTTTTAGAACAATAGCATTGAAGCAGTAGGTGGAGAAGCCAAACTTCTGAAAGGAGAGGAGCCTTTCAGTTAGGAAATAACCTGTGAGAACAGCCAGAATAGCAAAGGCTCTTCTCATCTTACGCTGTCTCATCTTTTTTTGTCTTCTGCTTTTTCTTTGCTTCATTTAATTACTAAAACTTTTATTTTTAACCTTCTCATTATTAAGGAATTTGTCAAGAGAAAGTAGATCTTTGTTTAATATCACTAGACTATGGGTAACTAAAAGGGAAGGACTCTTGTTATTTAACTCTGCGTCCTTAGCAACCAGCAAAGGGTCTGGGTTCTTGCACTTGTTTAATAAATATTTGCCGAAAGACTCAGACCTGGAGCAGACCACCCCAGGGAGGCAGATGTTGTGTTAGTAGAAGCAGACCATGATCAAGGGCAGAGGTGATTGGGCAATCAGGGCAGGCAGTGAAAGAGAATTTCAGAAGCTTACAAATCAACTGTAAATATGATGTTAGTATTTCTGAGCACATAATAGCCAGATGAAACTGGGAATAGACAGACTACTGTGCTTGGGGTGAAGCGTAAGCACTTAATAGAACAAAATTGTTCATTCCAGTACTACCAGCAATAGCTCAAAACTCAAAGGGCTTTGTGGTGCTTTAAACCTTTCTTTAAAACTCTGCAACTATGACTGATAGTAACACAGTATACCCTTTTCATTCAGGCAATTGGCTCACACCTTCGTCCTATCTTACTCCCACCACTGAGCATCTAAGAAGCCTCCTTGTGAGTGGGTAGCTATAGGCTTTTGTCCTGACACTCTTGCCAAGTTACCAAACAATAGTATACTAAAGAGATAGATAGCATGGGCCAAACAGAGATAAATGATGTTTTTCACCAAGTTTCCTGAACCCATTAAAAATGTGGTGTATGTATCACATTATATAATATGTACATAATAATATATAATAATATTCCATTATATAATGAAATATTATATATACTATATTTAATGGAATATTGTTAAATATATAATGGAATGTTATTATATATATAAAATATTCCATTTTATTCATATAAAATATATGATTTCATTCTTTTCATGGCTGAATATAATATGCCATTATATTCAGCCATGAAAAGAATGAAATCATATATTTTGCAGCAACATGGATGAAACTGGAAGTCACTGTCTTAAGTGAAGCAAGCCCAGCACAGAAAGTTAGATATTGCATCCTCTCACTCATAGGTGGATGCTAAGAAATGTGTCACATGGATGTAGAGAGTGGAATTATAGACAATGGAGACTTAGAAGGGTGATGGGGTGGGAGGAGGGTGGATGATGAGAAGTTAGTTAATGGGTATAACGTACATTATTTGGGTGATGGATACCCTAAAAACCCTGACTTGACCACTACATGATCTATGCATATAAAAAATTACACAAGTACCCAATACTTTTGTACAAATATTTTATAAAAAGCTTTGCCTCCAATCCATAGCAATCCCCTTTGATTTGTGGAAGAGTCAAAATGAATGGTAAAGATAGATTTTCTTTTCATAATCTTTTACTTGGTAACTAATCTCACTGAAAATGCATGAAAAGGAAGTGGGCTAGGGAAGCAAGGGGAACCATGACTAAATCATTCTGTTTCAGTCTCTGCATATTTTACTTTAACATAAATTAATCTAATAGTCTCCTTCTTTCAAGAACTACCATTTCTCTCCATCAGTATACTGACAAAAAATTGTCCTCCATAAAAATATGGGAAATGAGTATAAGTTTTAAGAAGTCTGATGTTCACAAGTATTTAATCATAAAATTTAATTTGCAAAAAAGGTGACTAACTTTCTGAATGTCCCTTTGGAGATTTTGATTAATGTCTTACTATGGAGGGCACAGCCTTTGAAATACCTTGTGATCTTGCATTACATGGGGTCAGGTGAGACTTCAATTTATCAGAGAGCCAAATTTCACTCTGACAATGAAAGTGACTCCTTGGGCACCTCATACTTTTCCTTTAAAAAGCCTCTGCTTTTTCTAAATTACATATTTAGCTCCTGTGTTACTCTTATCTCTTTTAATGCAGGGCTTGGCTCTAATGCAACTATCACAGGTGGACCAGGACCTGCTCTTGCCTGGCAAGAGCCTGTGGAACTTCAAATTCACACTTCAGGAAAATTTCATTTTCCCTCATATTAATTGTGATGTCAGACTCAAAATATTTCCTAGCTCCAAGTGAAATGTTTTCTTTTCCCCCCACATTCCCTCTCCCTAGTCCAGTATTATGGAACTAAAACTACAAATGCTGCTAAATCTCTTAAAATATGAGACATTGACATGGAGTATCTGCTGACATAGTTGGGTGATGTTTAAACAAATAATATAGCAATCTTCACTGAACTTCTCCTACCTGTAAAGCAATATGTGTTATAGGGGATACAGAGATATTTAGGGCCTAGCTGCATTTATAGTGTAATGGGATGATATATGTATAAGAACTTCTAGCATATAGTGTAAGGCAAGGCAAGATATGTGCCAAATCAATGTCATGATCAGCAAATTCTAATAGATGAACAAAATGTACAAATCCCTACAGGTAGAGTTTTGGAGATAGGTTCTGGTTTGAGTAAAGAAAGATGGGCAGGGTAGTTGGAATGGAGTTGGTAAGGGCATGAATAAGTTTACAGGTACAATGAATCAACACATTGGTTGGTGGAGCACGTGCTGGAGAAAAGTTTGGGACATTAGTCTGGAAATTTGATACTGACGCCAGTCTGTGGAAGGCAAACTGAGGATTGCAAAATAAGTTTCATGGTGATATAATACTACTGAAAATTTTTGAGCAGTTATGTGATATAGTGAATACATTAAGCTTTAGGAAGAGTATTATGGCACCTGTGTGAACCCTTCAACTAGTATATATGCTGTATGATGAAGGGACTGTCAGTCATGCTTCTCATGATATTCTATGACACATGGTACATGTCTAGTAAAATATATGTTGAGTAACTGAAAAAAAGAAGAAAATGCCCGGAGGAAGTGAATCAATAAATCTTGTAGTTTTCTTGGACCAGAGGAAATAAGCTTATGTTCCAGAACAATGGCTCCCAAATGGAGGTGATTTAGCCTCCCAAGAGACATTTAGCAACACTTGTAGACATTTTTTTTCACAACTCAGGGGATGTTACTGGTATCTGGAAGGTAAAAGGCAAGGATGATGCTAACTGTTCTACAAAACACAAAACAGCCTCTCAAGACAAAGAATTATCCATCCCCAAGTGTACATAGTGCCAAGGTTGAGTGGACCAGATCTAGAAGGAAGGCAGTCAAAAGAGAAAAAATAGAGATAAGACAAAGGATAGCTGTAAGAACTTGGTGACTGCTTTCATACAGAGGAGCAAAGGAGAACAAAGGCCAAAGATTACATGGGAATTCTCTTCTGGGTCACTCTGGAATCGTGACACTACAGGCAAAACTGGAGCCCAGAAAAGAGGCCAAATTGTTCATGTCTGTGTGTTGGTGAGTTTGGTTTAGATTTGCAGAATTTATGAAAAAGGTAAAATCTACTAATATAATTGTCTATTGGATGCTGGGGATGCTGGACTAGAAGTTAGGGGAAAAGTTAGGACTAATGTTCTAACTATGGTGGCTGACAAAGCTGATATGAGTCTTACCTTCATGGGGAGTTCAGTGGAGGAGGTGGGCATTAAATGGATAGTCTCTAGTATATCAGTATAATTGGAAATTGTAAGTTCTGTAAAAGAAATGTATAGTTTCTATGTGAAAGCATAACAGGCATCATCAGGACATATCTGTGGACTGGGAAATGCCTCTCTTAGCAAATGACATTTATACTGAACAATGAGTATGACTGCCACCAGGCAAAGAACAGGGAGAAAATATTGAAAGCGGTTGAAATGGCATGGGTGAAGGCTATGAGGCAGACAAAAATAGGTGGGTTTAACGAACAGAAGGAAGTGAATGAGCTGCAGAGAGAAAAGGGTGGGAAGTACAAGAGGTTGAAGAAATAGGCAGGGGATGAGCCCAGGGTTCATGCTAAAACTTCTGAATATAATCCAGTTGTAATAGGAAATGATTGAAAATTTTAAGCAGAGAACTGAGAAAATCCATTTTACATTTTTAAAAGAATGTATTTTATATTTTTACAATTTTAAAATTGGTTATTATTCATATATGGAGAATAAATTGGAGGATCCAAGAGTAGAAATAGGGAGATAAAGAGTTGGCTATTGCAGTTGGCAAGGCAAGAGATAACGGCAGCTTGGACTAAAGTGATAAATTGTTGGAAGAGAAATTTGAGAAAAGTCACATTATTCAAGTGACATTCTTGAAGCAGAATTCTTGGGGAGGTGATGGATTGGATAAGAAGAATAACAGAAAGGGGAGTATTCAGGTTGATAGCTCTATTAGTCTCCTGAGGCTGCTGTAACAAATGACCACAAACTGGGTGGCTTACAACAACTGAAATTTATCTTCTCACAGTTCCAAAGGGCAGAAATCCGAACTCCAGGTGTCAACAGGGCCACACTTCCACTGAAGGCTCTAGGAGGGAATTCTTCCTTGCTTCTTTCAGCTTCTAGTGGCTCCAGGCGTTCGTTGGCTTGTGGCTGGAAAACACCAATTTTCTCCTCTGTCTACACATAGTCTTCTCCTCTTCTCTCACTTAAATCTTTTTCAGCTTTTCTCCCATAAAAACATTTGTCATTGGATTTAGGATCTACCTGAATAACCGGGATGATATAATCTTGAGATATTTAATTACATCTGAAAAGACCCTTTTTCCAAATAAAGTCACATTCATGGTTCAGGGATATGGACATATCTTTTAGGGGACATATCCCTATTCACTCCACTACAATGGCTATGTATCTGGCTTTAATAATTGCGTAGGATAAGATTGAAGAAGAAGCAAAGTTTAGGGGAAGGATCAAGAGTTCAGTTTAGATACATTATATTGAGATGCCTGTGAAATAGTAAAAAGAAGCCGGATGTGGTGGCTCACGCCTGTAATCCCAGCACTTTGGGAGGCCAAGGCAGGTGGATCACTTGAGGTCAGGCCAGCCTGGCCAATATGGTGAAACCCTTTCTCTATGAAAAATAAAACAATCAGTCCAGCATGGTGGCGCATGCCTGTAGTCCCAGCTACTCGGAAGGCTGAGGCAGGATAATGGCACTCCAGCCTGGGTGACAAAGCAAGACTCTGTCTCAAAACAAAACAAAACAAATACTAAGGAGAGATGTCAAGTAGACAGTTTAATAAATAGTTCAGAAGAGGTTGATGTTTGTTATTCAAAGCCTGGGATGAGTGAGATTGCTGAGGGCAATTGTTTAGTGAGAAAATAAACCACGATTGTTATTTGAAAATTCCAAGTTTGAGACATATAGTAGAAGATTCGGAGCTAGCAAAAGAGTTCAAAAATGAACTGCCAGAGATGTGGAAGTGAAAAGAAGAGACTGGAGTACTTGAATGGTGGTGAGTAAAGGTGAACAATCAGGTTTATGCAAAGTTTCATCAGGTACGTATGTAAGGAAAGAAAATTGAGAGTATTTTAAGAAAAGAGGGGTTATTCCTAAAGAGGGAAAATTTAGCATATTCAGCATATTCATATTCAGCAATTGTAATAGTGATTACAACTACCAATAGAAAGAGGCAAGATTAGATTCTTGACTATTGAACCCTGGTGTATATCTGTATTTTGATATCAAAATTAGTCATTAAAAAGGAGAAAGAGAAATCACAGGGGTGCAATAGCAATAACGTAGAACTCCTAAATTTAAGGGAAGTAAAGTTAACTTCTACATATACTGGTAAAATGTTAAAATTGGATTTCTAAGGAGAATGATGAAATAAATGTGAATAACATTAAAGTTAAGTGTGAAACTTGGAGCTGCTCTTCAAGTTAATTACATATCCTAAAAGTGGGTGTTTTATTATGAAAATATGTTCCAGACAAGAACTCCAGTAACTAGAGTATCATGATGGGCTGAACACTGGAACCTTGGGATTCTCTACTTCTCTGCTATGAACTTGCTGTGTGACTTTGGGTAATTCATTTCACTTTTCTGAGCCTGACTCAGTTTCTGCCCCCATAAATAGTTTTGAGCTACATAATCTCTGAAGTTCTCTTGAGTTCTAGATATGATGACTCAATGTCACTTTCAGGCCTTCTATTTGGCTGTATTTAGATGTATTTCTATGAGGCCCTTTCAAGTTCTAAGGCTCAGAGGCATAGGAATCTGTTAGCCTGACACACAGACTCAGGCTGGATGGTGAGCTTTGTTCTTTCCTCTGGCTATGGCCATAGGCACTGGAACAATGTCCATTGCCATGGTCATTCTCCCTTCTCATTGGAGCAAAGCCTCTTCCAAGTCACAAGCTAGGTTTTGAGTACTTTCTGGATTTTCGTTATTTCACAATCTTTATCTTGATCATCAGGAAGCTTCTTCTTTTAAATCCTCAAAACATGAAAGTTCTGATTAGACCATGTACATTTCCTGATGTACATCTACGCACTCACATGCTAATGGATGCTACCCTCTCAGTTCCCATGGATCTTGCACACGCCCTTTAGAGAATGGCTACTCTCTTCCATGACACAAAGATAACTTACCCAAAAGGGCAACTCCTTATAGTTCTCAAGGTGATCTAGTGCCTTTTGTTAGCATGCAGAATCAAAAACTATAATTTTCATCAGAGCATCTTGATTTAGAGAAGTTTTACCCGAGGGTTTAAGTTTGTTTAGGAGATCATGATTTCTCTTAAATTGTGGGTGTGTATGTGAAAATGTGCTTTCTTTAAAAAAGAGAACGATTTACTTTCATCAGATCCTCAAGTAAGTCACAGCCCATTAAATATTAAGAACCACTGTTATAGGTTTCCTCTAGCCAGGACACCAATTCTTACTTCAGCCAACCGTGGAAAAGTTAAGGGTGCTACATGACAGTAGGTATGGCTACTTAAGCTGAAGGAAAATCTGTGAGACAGTATGTGGCCTATTCAGTAAAATATTATATTTCATATGCCATAAGCATGGAAAGGAATAAGCTCTTACATATTTCTATTTCTAGAACATTAGTTCCTTTACGAGGTAACCATCTTAGGCAAGGTTGTTATTAGTTTCCAAGGAATCAGTGGAGAGGCTCATGACAAAGGGAAGAAGGGGCTGCTTCTGCTTACAGAGAAAATTATGTGGAATTTGGGATTTTCATATACTTTCATAATCTGACTCCTCCCATTTAACTGTTTATTTATTTATTTATTTATTTATTGAGATGGAGTCTCACTCTGTTGCCCAGGCTGGAGTGCAGTGGCACCATCTTGGCTCACTGCAACCTCCGCCTCCCAGGTTCAAGCGATTCTCCCGCCTCAACCTCCCACGTAGCTGGGATTACAGGCGCCCACCACCACGCCCGGCTAATGTTTGTATTTTTGTAGAGACAGGGTTTCACCATGTTGGCCAGGCTGGTCTCGAACTCCTGACCTCAGGTGATCTGCCCTTGGCCTCCCAAAGTGCTGGGATTACAGGAGTGAGCCACCGCCTCCAGCCTAAATGAACCACTTCTGAGACTGCAAAAATTGTCTCACTGTTTTTATGCGTTATGACACAGTATTTTTCAGAAGGACAATTATTAAAAGGCATGAAAAGACTATTTGAAAAGGTTAAAGAAATAGGTTTGTTTTAATAAGGAGAGAATGATAAACAGCCAATATGAATGTTTACATGTATGAGAGAATACAGGGAATTAAAGCAGATGTTTTTGTTTTCAACTGATATAAAAAATTAGGAGTTAGTCTTTCATTTTAAAATGGAGGCATATGTTTGACTTAGAGAAAGTGTTGACTGTAGAATGTTACTAAAGGAGTTTGTAGAATCTCCTTTTTCAGATATTTTTAAAGAATAGAAAATGGTATCGCTTGACTTGGGCAGATTCTTGCCTAATGTGTCCTTTCTAAAATACAACCACAGACATCAGTATCATTTATGGTAGAGAATGGGGAGGCTTACTCTCCGAATTCATGCAACAAACATTTATGGAGCCTCATGATGTACCAGGCACTAGGAATTAAACTTCCAATTCAATGTCCCCATGCAAACAGATCTTCAGATAGATAGGCAGATAGACAGTGGAAAGGGAATGTGGTAAATGCCATGTAGGGAAGGGGAAAGACTGGCCCAGTAATTATGACCACCTTTAACTGAGTCCAGGCACTGTCAGGCAGTGTCCAGGCACAGTGTCAAGCACTCCATGTACATTATTTTATTTAGTGCTCACAACAACCCTATGGAATATATACTATCATTTGCCAGCTATTATCCATGAAGAAACTAAGGTTAAGGAGAGATTAAATAACTTGCCCAAGATCACGCAGACAGCAAATTGCAGAGATTGTTTTGACTGTAGAGTTGAAGTTCTTAAACCCTGGGCCAGCCAGTCAGAATCTGAGAGGAGACAAGTAAGGTTGGTGAGGGGAATGGGAATTGAAAGGGATGAGGAAAGCCTTCTGAAGGAGAAGCCATTTCAATGGAGTTTTGAATGAGCAGGAGTTGGCCAGGTGTATTTTATCCGGGGGGCTGGTAGTGGAGGAGAAGACATGTTTGCCAGATAAAGCAGCTGTGGAAGGGACTGAATTTCAGTCACTTGTTATTTAGCTAAAGACATGGTCATTCTAAAGTCCCTACCGAGTTCTTGCACACTGATACCAGGGTTTTCAATGAGTAGTGCTCAGTTTATAAGAGTTAAGAAGTCACCATTTTTTTTTCTTAGTCCAAATGAAAATAGTGCTTCATCTGAGATCTGCGTATGAATGGCTCTGCCTGTCTTTGGTCAACCCATTTTCCACTCCCTTTACTTGTCCCTTCTTTCCCTCCGGCCTCTAACTCTCTTAGTCCTTCCTTCTTTTCTCTGAAATGAAGCTCTCTCCTACCCATAGAGAACACTTCCTCCTCTGGTTCACCAGGAAGTTTTTTTGGGCACAGCTTCATGGCCTCTCACAGTGATGGATCCTTATTTAAAGCCTGAAATCGATTTCCCCATGGCATCACAATATCTATGGCCATGCTTCCCTCTCAAACATGTGCATTTACTTTTTTTTGGAAGGAGAGAGGAGCAAAATTCATAATTCTTTTCTTCTTTCAGGCCTTTTAATAGTTCCAGTTCTTCTCTGGTCAATCAATCCCCATTTAGTGGAGGCTTAAGCTCCCTCCAGCCTGATTCTCTTTTATACGGCTGCCTTTCTGATGTCGTATATCGGTACAAACAAATAAACATAAAGAGGTTTGGTTTTTCTTTTTTCAGTTTGTTTCTTCTCAGGAAAATAAATTCTATTTAATTTTTCTGACTCCAATATACTCTTGCATGTCATAGAATCTTGTTTTATAATCAGCTATTGGAACTTTAGTAGGTCTACAAACAACCATTTCCTTTCCTAACTAAAATCAGAACCAATTGAAAAAGAGAAGAGGAGTCAGACCACTGCCTCACAGACAGTGGATTTTAAAATGTGGCTTTAGATCTGCAGTCGTCACTGGCCTCCAACACGTAACTCCTGAAAGAGACTGTCAGAGCAGTGATGCCAACGCAGACCCGGGGAATGACAGGACTTCCCCAGACAGTCCCCACCGGGCAGAGTCTGCCCGGTGAGCTCATTCCCTCTAAGGAGGAGTGAATCAGGACAGCTAGAGCTGGGACTGACATGTTGAAGCAAGTTTCTGCACACAGAAATAGGAGGCCAGGGTAAAGGAAAATCCTCCATGTTGAGATGTGGAAAGAAACCTGATTTTTGTTTGTCTCCCTTTATAACATTAATTCCCATTCCTTTCAGATTAGACTTTCATGTGTTATTTGTCGTTTACATAATGCTTTTGAATACAATTATTTAAACCTTTTTCTGTCTGTCTCACATTTCTCGGATGAGATATTCTCACTTTCCTCTTAAGGGTATTTTATTGTTCTTGTGTAACTACTGTCAAAAAATAAAAATTTCAACAAATTTAGTTTAATGATCTAAACTATTAGTGATTCATTAATCAGACGGTATCCCATCTATGAAACAGAAAAGCACGCTAGTAAGCTGAGGAGAGGCAGTGGGCTTTATAGGCAGAAAAGCCTGAAGAAAGCAGAAACAGGAACAGAAAGCCGATTGGTTGTTTCAAAGTTACTTTCTTTAAAAGGATAAAGCAGAGCCAGGGGACTTTCTTATTATGTCAGCTCAGGTTGACTGGGCCCCTTTTAATTGATTGCTGTGAATCTGTTTTTTGTTGTTGTTGTTTTGTGTTTTTTTGGGGGTTTTTTTGTTTGTTTTCTAACTGGCTGATTTTAAAGTCCAGTTTGGGGACCTAGCACTAGTGATTCCATTCTGGTTTGGTCTGTTCTTCTGGGCCTAGTGCAAGAGCTTAGTCCAAAACAATAGCCTCCCATAAATTTAACACTACTCTCAGTAAAAATAACCATTGGTATTTTTATAGCATGGCTTTTAATAATGCCTATATTCTCATATTTGCAAAGTGCATTTTCCTGAGCTGATTTTATCAGTGGCTTTACTTCCAAAATAATTTCCTTTTAGGACAATATCAGAACGGCACATACAAGTGTCCCCAAGTCATATTTGGAATAAGATCACTTGGGAACACAAGTCAAAGAAGGTATGTAACCAACTCACCTCATCTAATGGAACAGGTTTCCCTGGGCAAGCATAAGATTATTGTACATTGTTCAAAGATTTCAAGACAGATAGCGTAGATTTCAAGAATGCCAAACATAAGGCAGAGAGGAGTCTACTGGGATATTTTCCCGAATTGTGGCTTGTATCTCTCTCTGGTCTATTAGAAGACCTCCTGCATACCCCTAACAAGAGAAAAAATGACAGATGAAAGAAAGAGAGAGAGAGAGACTTTCTTGTAATTAATCTAATAGGCATTTTTAAAATTGAACACTTGGACTTCCTCCAACTGGCATCTTTAAAACACCCATTGATTAACAGGCAAATGGGATGAGTGAATTCATTATAAGAAGTGAATCCTTTGCGTCCACCAGATTCTTCTGCCTTCATTGTCATCAAAGTTCTTGGGCTCACTCACTGGCTATCATCCCTCTCACTCATCTCTAAAATGGTTTCAACATCCCCTCTGTGCGGTCCAGTTTCTCACCTAATTTGCATTAGGCTGATTCATTCATTCCTCAGCAGGGTTACTTGATGTGCTTTCTTCCCAGTGGCATCCATGTGTAAAGCTGTCTCTCACTGGCTCTTATCACAGTCAGATTCAAAATGCTCATTTCAGAAAGACTGCAAGTCTTAATAGAAGGTATAGAATTTAACAACATGAACACAGTGAAAGTTTAAGAATGGTTTCTGGAATACCTGAAATCTATTCTGCTTATATTAAAATGGCTTTCGGCAGAGGGTGAAAAACCCTGCCGGCAATCAGAGCATTCTGTGACATTCAAGTCTGCCCAGAGTCAGCAGCCAAGCAGCGTGCTCTCTGATCTACAGATTTGCATTGTTCACTAACCTTCCTGTGCCAAAAACACTCAGTTGCTCCCTTTCACCAGCCTCTAAGGTCACAAGACAGACAGTTCTTTCTTGATTACTCAAACAAATACACGTCTGATTCAGAGCGGGGAAAAAAGAGTTGCCAACAGTCAAGGCTTAGAAAGGCCAGGGCTGCTTGCACTTAGAAGCCAGCCTGATGAATCACCACATCCATGACTAATTGTGGGGTTCAAGTGTGCCCAGTTATAGAGCCTGTTTTTTAGAAAGGAAAATGCTAAAGAAGACACATAGAAATGTGGAAGAAAACTAGACACTTTTGTGTGACTACACAGATGGCCCGTGGTCATTAACAGGCTTGATACATACCTTTCTCTATATATATATAGTTTTTTTTTTTTTTTTTGACAGAGTTTCACTCTTATTGCCCAGGCTAGAGTGCAATGGTGCAATCTCAGCTCACCAAAACCTCCGCCTCCCGGGTTCAAGCAATTCTCCTGCCTCAGCCTCCTGAGTAGCTGAGATTACAGGCATGCGCCACCATGCCTGACTAATTTTGTATTTTTAGTAGAGATGGGGTTTCTTCATGTTGGTCAGGCTGGTCTTGAACTCCCAACCTCAGGTGATCCGCCAGCCTCGGCCTCCCAAAGTGCTGGGATTAGAGGTATAAGCCACTGCACCCAGCCCTCTCTCTATGTTCTTTCAATTAAGCCCCAGAAAATGTGGAAATGCCATTGCCCTCAACCTGGCTTTCCTCACAAGAGTAAACTTCATGGGCTTAAAAAAAATTCCAAACATTTTTTAAATCTCATAAGGTTAAGAAAGGGCAGTCGACTTCAATAAATTATGATGCTGATGATTTTTGTTTTAAAAAACTGGCAAAAACAGACTTTTACATATATATGACTATCATATATGACTTTTACATATACGTATATAGGTGAATTACTTATATACATATAAGTACATAAAGTATACAGTTACATGTATGTTAAAGTATGTATATACATATCTAATGTAAATATACATATATATGCACATATGAACCTATATCTTCATTGCATGCTTATGTAATAGATGCAGTGTGTAATATGTGTAAATCCATGTTTTATTTGTATAGATACCAAGGACATGATAATAAAAATGACATAGTTCTTGTCCTCAATTGTATAGTCTGTTGGGAAAGAAAACACACAAATAGAAAAAATTTTCATATAGAGAATTTTTAATATTCTCTATATGCTGCTATAAAATCAATAGTAGTCATGCACAGGGTGTTGTTGGCATAAGGGAGGAAACCTTGAAAAAGGGGTACATGTTAGGGAAAGCTTTGGGAAAGTGAGAGATGAGCTGATCTGAAAGGACTTGTAGTAGTGACTCTTGTTGAGTGGGAGGGAGGGGTAGGCAATGAATGGAGGAAATCCCAGGTAGAGGAAAAAGAGAGTACCAGAACAGCCCCACATTTATTTAAGAAATTGAAATTATAGCTAAAAACCTCCACACACAAAACTCCAGGCACCAAAGTTTTCATGGTTAAATTGTACCAAACCTTTAGTAAATAAATAAAACCAATTATACACAAACTCTTCCAGAAAATTTAAGACAAGGAAATACTTCCCACTTTATCTGGGAGGGCTGCCTTACCTTAACCCAAAATCTAGATGTTACAAGAAAAGATAACTACACAACATTAAATATCCCACATAAACATAGGTACGAAAAACCTTGAGAAAATTATAGCAAATGAAATTTAACAACATATAGAAAGAATAATACATCATGAATAAATGAGGTTTATTATGAGAGTGCAGGGCAAACATTTGGAAATAAATTGACGTAATTCACCATATAAAAAACAGACGAACATCTCAATAGGTGCAGAAAATATAATTGACAAAATTCTATATAGATTCATGATAGAATGAACAGCACTCAGTAATCTGGGAATAGATGGGAATTCCCTTAACTTGATAAAGGCATCCATTTAAAAAACAAATAACCAAAATACTATAGCTAGCATCAAACTGAATGGGAAATGACAATTCAGTGCAGAAACAATTGGTGTTGAAACAATTTGATATCCACATGTCCTATAGTTTGAATATGTCCCCTTCAAAATTCAGGTGTTAAAACTTAATGGCCAATGCAGTGACATTAAAAGGTGGGTCTTCTCAGAGGTTATTAGGTAATGAGAGCTCCTCCCATTACGAGTGGGATTAAGGCCCTCATAAAAGGAGCTTCACTCAACATTTGACCCTCTTGCCCTCTGCCTTCCACCATATAAGGACACAGTGTTCTGCCTCTCCTGAGTAAGCAGCAACAACGCACCATCTTGGAATCAGGGGACGGCCCTCACCAGACAACTAAATCTGCAGACACCTTGGACTTCCCAGCCTCCAGAACTGTAAGAAATAGATTTCTGTTCTTTACACATTATCCAGTCTTGGGTGTTCTATCATAGCAACACTAGTAAACTAAGACAATATGCAGAGAGAGAAAAAGAGAGAGAGGAAGGAAGGAGGGAGGGAAGGAGGAACAAAAGAAAGAGAGATCTTTAAAGCATACCTTACATACAAATACTAACTCAAAATGGATCAATACCTAAAAGTGAAATCTAAATTAAATTATTGTACCTTTTGAAAAAATAAGCCACAGAATGGGAGAAAATGCTTGCAAATCATTTATCTGATAAAGAACTTATAACAAAGATATATAAGGATGTCTCAAAACTCAATACTAAGAAAACAACAATGTAATACAAAAAGGACAAAATTTATTTTCGTTTGGTCACTTTTTAAAAATTTTACTTTAAGTTCTGGGATATATTTGCAGAATGTGCAGGTTTGTTACGTAGGTATACATGAGTTGACACTTCACCAAAGAAGATATTCATATAACAAATAATTACATGAAAAGACCCTTGAGTTCATTAGTTATGAAGCAAATGAAAAACCCTAATGACATACTACTACATGCCTATTACAATTACTAAAATCAAAAGAACTGACAATATTGATGATCACATAGAAAAAGCGAAACTTTCATACATTCCTAATGGAAATGCAAAATAGTATTGTCACTTTAGAAAAACAGTTTAGCAGCTTCTTAAAGAGTTAAGTATTTACCTACAATACAATCTAGCATTGCCACTTCAAAGATGAAAGTTTTATTTACATAAAAGCAGATATAGAAAAGTTTATACAGCTTTTCTATATATCTTCCAAAACTGGAACAACACAAATGTTCTTCAACAGGTGAATGGATAACCAAATTATGGTACATCCATACAATGGAATACTATTCAGGATTAAAAAGGAATGAACTACTGATAGACACAACATGGCCAAGTGCATTATACCAAGCAAAAAAAGCCAGATTTAAAAGACTACATACTGGCTGGGCATGGTGGCTCAAGCCTGTAATCCTAGCACTTTGGGAGGCTGAGGCAGGTGGATCACTTGAGGTCAAGAGTTCAAGACTGGCCTGGCCAACATGATGAAACCCCATCTCTACTAAAAATAGCTAATTAGCTGGGCCTGCTGGCGGGAACCAGTAATCCCAGTTACTCAGGAGGCTGAGGCAGGAGAATCGCTTAAACCTGGGAGGTAGAGGGTACTGTGAACCAAGATCGTGCCACTGCACTCTAGCCTGGGTGACAGAGTAAGACTCTGCCTCAAAAATAAATAAAATAAAATAAAAGATTGCATACTTTTACTTGATTCCAGTTGTATGACATTCTGAAAAAAAGCAAAACTATAGGGACACAAAACAGAACTATACCTTAGAACAGGTAAATTTATTTATGTAAAGTGTATCTTAATAAAGCATGAAGAAAAATTAAAATGTCATCCATAATAAGAAAATTATTTAACATACATGAATTACCACATCTTAAAACTAAATCATAAAATTTAATGTATTAAAATTTTAGCATTTTAATTTGTTGTAATATGGAAAGTTATCTAGATCAACCCTCTTGCTGAAACAAGCTAATAATCCTGAGTAAATATATATTCTTAAAAATAATTATTGAACTGACAGGGTCATAAAGCATTTTTAGCAGAAATCCAGAAGGTAAGTGGAATTCTGCAGCCAACTTTCATTTTTATGGCATTTGCTAATTAGGATGAATTTGATCTACAATATTTTAGCTTCATGTGGTGCAAAGAACAAAAGACAAAAAGTCCAAAGCAGTTTATAAGAGACAAGTTTGAAATCTAAATATTCAGAACATTTGGAAGTAAAATGATTCAATAAATCATATACATGAATCAAAATCTAAGTACTTGGCAGGTAGTAAACTATTAGCATCACTCTAAATAGATTTACTAACTAAAGCATTAGGAGATTAAACTGATCACTACACGATGCTAAAACATTTAATAACTCAAGAAGATATAACAGTTCTAAACCTGTATGTACCTATCAACATAGCCTTAAATATGTAAACCAAAAATTGAAAGACAGGAAAAATAAATGCAAATAATAGTGAGGATGTTAGTATATTCCTCTCATAGCTAAAGAAACAGCTGACAAAATAAAATTAACATGATACTGATGATTTTTAAAACATGATTCAATGAATAAGCGGACATATATAGAACACTATATCCACCCATGTAAATTACAAAAACTTTTGAAACATACAGAAAACATATTATAAAATTGGCCATATTCTGATCCAAAAGCAGCTCTCAACAAAGTTTAAAGAACTAAGCCATGCATATCACATTCTCTATGATGAAATTTAGTTAAAAATCAAAACAAAAAGATAACTAGAAAAAAACACAGTATGTTTAGAAGAAAACCACAACTAAATAACCCATGAGCCAAAGATAAAATCATAATATTACAAAATATTCAAAGCTGAATAATAATGAATATATTATACATAAAAACTCACAGGACATGGTTAAAATAGCATATGTCTCCATTTCAGTGGTATTAGAAAAAAACAAAAGCTCAGAATTCAAGCTAAGCAACCATCTAAAAAGTAAGAAACAAACCAGAAAAACAGGGTAAATTTTTTAAATAGAAAAATGTATATATAATAGAACCAAAAGAGCCAAATGATGGTTCTTTGTGAGGATAAATAAAATTGATTAAATTGTGATGAGATTAATAAAGAAGAGAAAAGGTAGAAGCAGTCAAAATTAGGAATGAAAATGGAGGCATAGCTACAGTTGATGTAGACAGTTGAAAGACTTTGAGAAAATATAATAAACAACTTTATTCCTGTAAAATCACTACAGATTAACAGATTATGTTTCTATTAACTCAACCTGGAAAATGCATCTATCCTGTTCTCTGAAGGATTCCTAACATTTGATGATGCTGTCAGACATGACCAACAACATCATAAGGAATGTGGCTTTTCAGGGTGAGATAAGAAGCTTTGGGAAGTTTTTGTAGAGGGGTAACATAATCTCACTTTCATTTTGTATAGGTCTTTCTGGCAACTGTCTAAACATAAACCAGAGAAGGGCAAGGCAGACTCAGGAAGGACAAATAGAAGGCTATTTTCATAAATCGGGTAAGAGACGGTGGCATGGACTCAAGTGGTAGGGGTGAAGGTGGAGAGAAGTAATTAGTTTTAGATATTTTAGAAGGTAGAGCCAGAGGATTTACTGGTGAATTGAATATGGAACATGAGAGAAAGTAAATACAATGAGTTCAAAACAGTGATTTCTCCAAAGTTGTTTTGTTTTTTCTTTTGTTTGTTTCTTTGTCAAAGTGATCAGAAGAACATATTCCATTTCCTGAGATGAAAAAATCCTTAGGAAGAGAAAGTTTTAAGGAAACCAAGAGTTCCATTATGGACAAAGTAGGTTTGAAGTTCCTATACAGGTGGACTTCTTTATAGTGCACTTTCCTTTATTGTGCTTCACAGATATTGAAATTTTTACAAATTGAAGGTCTGTGGCAACCCTGCATTAAGCAAGTCTATCGGTGCCATTTTTCTAATAGCGTGTGCTTGCTTCGTGTCTCTGTGTTATGTTTTGGTAATTCCGGCAATATTTCAAACTTTTTCATTATTATTATATCTGTTATGGAGATCTGTGATCAGTGATCTTTGATTTTTATGACTGTAATTGTTTGGCAGCCCCACTAACCATGCCCATATAAGATGACAAACTTAACTGATAAATGTTAAGTGTGTTCTGACAGCTCCACTGGAAAACCGTTCCCTTGTCTTTGTCCCTCCCCTGGGGCCTCTCTACTCCCTGAGACACAACACTATTGAAATTAGGTCAATTAATAACTCTACGATGGCCTCTAAGTATTTAAGTGATAGGAAGAGTCACACATCTCTCACTTTAAATCAGAAGATAGAAATGATGAAGCTTAGTGAAGAAGGCATGTTGAAAGCCACAATAGGAAGTCCTCTTATGCCACACAGCCAAGTTTTGAATGCAAAGGAAAAGTTCTTGAAGGAAATTAAAAGTGCTACTCCAGTGAACACACAAATGATAAGAAAGTGAAACAGCCTACTGCTGATATGGAGAAAGTTTTTGTGATTTGGACAGAAAATCAAATTAGCCACAACATATCCTTAAGCCAAATCCTAATCCAGAGGAAGACCCTGACTCTTCAATTCTATGAATGCTGAGAGAGGTGAGAAAGCTGCAGAAGAAATGTTGGAAGCTAGCAGAGGCTGATTCATGAGGTGTAAGGAAAGAAGCCATCTCCACAGTACAAAAGTGAAAGGTGAAACAGCAAGTGCTGATGTAGAAGCTGCAGCAAGTTATCCAGAATATCTAGCTAAGGTCATTGATGAAGGTGCCTACACCTTTAGTATATTCCCCTCATAGCTAAATAAACTGCTGATAAAATAAAATTAACATGATATTGATGATTTTAAAAACATGATTAACTAAATGAATAAGTAGACATATATAGAACACCACACCCACCCAGATTTTGAATGTAGACGAAACAGCCTTCTATTGGAAGAAGATGTTATGTAGGACTATTGTAGCTAGAGAGGAGAAGCCAATGCCTGTAAGCTTCAAAAGACAGACTGATTCTCTTGTTAGGGACTAGCACAGCCGGTGACTTTAAGTTGAAACCAATACTACAGACTATTCCAAAATCCTGGGGCCCTTAAGAACTATGCTAAATCTATGCTGCCTATGCTCTATAAATGGAAAAATGCTTGAATAACAGTACAACTGTTTACAGCATGGTTTACTGAATATTTTAAGTTCACTGTTAAGACTTACTGCTCAGAAAAAAAGAATCCTTTCAGAGATAACTGCTCTGTATTAGTCCTTTTTCACACTGCTATAAGGAACTACCTGATGCTGGGTAATTTATGAAGGGGTTTAATTGACTCATAGTTCTTCAGGATTAACAGGAAGCATGGCTCAGAGGCTTCAGGAAACTTACAATCATGGCAGAAGGTGAAAGGGAAGCAAACACCTCTTACCATGGCAAAGCAGGAGAGAGAGAGAGACAGAGAGCACTAAAGGGGAAGTGCCACACACTTTTAAACAACCAGATCTTTTGAGAACACACTCACTATTACAAGAACAGCAAGGGGGAAATCGGCCCCCATGATTCAATCACTTCCCACCAGGCCATTCCCCAGACACATGCGGATTACAATTAGAGATGAGATTTGGGTGGGGACACAGAGCCAAACCATGTCATGCTCATTGACAATGCACCTGGCCACCCAAGAGCTCTGATAGAGATGTACAAGGAGATGAATGTTGTTTTCATGCCTGCTAACACAACACAATATCCATCCTGTAGCCCATAAATCAAGGAGTAATTTCTATTTTCAAGTTGCCTAATATAACAAATGCATTTTGTAAGGCTACAGTTGTCATACACAGTGATTCCTCCGATAGATCTGGATAAAGAAAACAGAAAATCTTCTGGAAAGGATTAATCATTCTAGATGCCACTAGGAACATTTGTGATTCATGGGAAGAGGTAAAAATATTAACATGAATGGGAGTTTAGACGAAGTTGATTCGAATCCCCACGGAAAACTAACTTAGAAGGGTTCAAGACTTCAGAGGAGGGAGTAACTGCAGCTGTGGTAGAAACAGCAAGAAACTACAATTAAAAGTGAAGCCTGAACATGTGACTGAATTGCTGCAATCTCATGATAAAACTTGAATAGATTGGGAATCTCTTCTTACGGACGAGCAAAGTGTTTTCTTGAGATCAAATCTATTCCTGGTGAAGATGCTATGAACAGTGTTGAAATGACAACAAAAGATTTAGACCATTGCATAAACTTAGTTGTTAAAGTAGCAGCAGGATTTCAGACAATTTCCTCCCATTTTGAAAGAAGTTCTACTGTGAGTATAATGCCATCAAACGGCATCACGTGCTACAGAGAAATTCTTTGTGAAAGGAAGATTCAATTGATACAGTAAACTTCAGTGCTGTCTTACTTTAAGTAATTGTCACAGCCACCCAACCTTCAGCAGCCCCCACCCTGGTTAGCTGCCATCAACACTGAGGCAAGTCCCTCTACCAGCAAAAAGAATATGACTCACTGAAGATTCAGATGATCACGAGCATTTTTCAGTAATAAACAATTTTTACACTAAGATATGTCCATGTTTTTTAAGACATAATGCTATTTTACACTGAACAGACTACAGTATAAACATATAACTTTTATACGCACTGGGAAATCAAAAACGTGTGTGGCTCACTTTATTGTGGTAGTCTGGAACAGAACTCACAACATCTCCAAGGTATGCCTGTATTTCATTTAGGTGAAGATATGAAAGCGGCAGTTGAATATACAAATCTGTAATTCATGGGACTGCTCAGTGTTGGAGATCTAATTTGGGTTCATCCATCTATAGGTATATTTAAAAAGCTGAGGCCTGAATAAAGATACCTAGGGAACACAGGTAGAGAGAGCACACAAAGCCTGACCTGCAGCATTCCAGTGTTTAGAGGTCAAGAAATAAGATAGAGTAGTGGACTAGTGGCCAAGTAATAAACTGGGTCAAAGATGAAGAATGAAGAATGCCAGTGGATTTTGCCATGTGGGGGTTTTAAGGGACCTCGATAAGAGAGCTTTTAGTACAGTTGTTAGGACAAGACAGGCCTAGAGTTTAGTCTTAAAAGGGAACAGAGAAATGACGTGGTTGTTGGAGGAGACCATAGAGACAAAGAAGGTTCATTTATTCATTTTTATGTTTAAGACAGGAGATAACTGTCCTATGTTGTATGATGATGGAAATGGCCCAGTAGAGACAGAAACATTGATGGTTTCTATTTTTTCCATCTTGTTTGGTTTGGTCTTTCAGAATTTAATACCTAATGAATGACTTTTTTTAACTTTTATTTTAGTTTCAGGGATACATGTGCAGGTTGGTTCTATAGATAAATTGCATGTTGCGGGGGTTTGGTGTACATATTATTTTGTCACCCAGGTAAAAGCATAGTACCCGATATGCAGTTTTTCAATCTTCACCCTTCACCCACCCTCCACGCTCAAGCAGGCCCCAGTGTCTATTGTTCTCTTCTTTGTATCCATGTGTACTCAATCTTTAGCTCCCAATTATAAGTAAGAACATGCAGTGTTTGGTTTTCTGTTTCTGCATTAATTCATTTATGATAATGGCCTCCAGCTCCATCCATGTTGCTGCAAAGGACATGTTCTCATTATTTTTTTATGACTGCGTAGTATTTCATGGTGTATATGTACCACATTTTCTTTATCCAGTCTACTGTTGATGGGCATTTAGGTTGATTTCATGTCTTTGCTATTGTGAATAGTGCTGCAACGAACATACGTGTGCATGTCACTTTATGATAGAATGATTTATATTCCTTTGGGTGTATACGCAGTAATGAGACTGCTGGGTCAAGTGGTAATTCTTCTTTGAGTTCTTTAAGAAATCTCCAGACTGCTTTCCACAATGGCTGAACTAACTTACATTCCAACCAGCAGTGTATAAGCGTCCCTTTCCTCCGCAGCCTCGCCAGCATCTGTTATTTTTTGACTTTTTAATAATGGCCTGAATGACACATTTGAATTAATTAGTTTGACAAGAGTT
Source organism: Homo sapiens (assembly GCF_000001405.40). Taxonomy (NCBI): domain Eukaryota; kingdom Metazoa; phylum Chordata; class Mammalia; order Primates; family Hominidae; genus Homo; species Homo sapiens. The sequence goes on from NC_000007.14 coordinate 116,327,393, forward strand.
TTAAAATATCAAACACACTTTCCCACAGTGTTCATTTTGTTTATATTTGCTTATCTCAGTAAATTGTTAACATGTAGAAATGAAAGCTTAAATGTATAATGAGCCATATCTCTGCATTTATTCAAAGACTTTAGGGGTCAAATTTGCTTATTAAACTGTGTGACAACCAGTTCTGTTTTTGAAATGTTTAAAATTTATCTTAATGTCCACTTTAGGTTCTAAATAATTGAGATAGGCTATCTATAAACCCTGCATTCACCAGATAATGGCCTCAGTATATCCTGCACTTGGCCAGGAATTGACATTCAGTCTATAATTATTTACTTACGGAAGATTTATGTTTTATAAGTAAAAACAGAGAGTATTGGTTTTAGAAATATATGATGTAGTTAAGAAAATCCAAGAAAAGCATTAATTAATAATAGAAAAAATCACTCACAGTTATTGAAAGCATCCCGCATGATGGGCGCTGTGCTGCAATCTACGTTCATGCTCTCATTTACTCCCCTCAGCAATTCTCTCTGGTGGTGGCCACTATGATTCTATTTTACAGACCAGGAAGTTGAGTCATTACAGGGGGCAAGTGACTTGCTGAACGGTACACAGCTGGGAAGTGGTGTGGCTGGAATTTGAGGTCATGCTTTCCATAGTCATAGTACACGACCGCTCAAGCAGGCTAGCATATGGATGGAAGGAAGAGAATGCTTCCTTTTCATACCAATGTCTTTATGTATGAAAAGCAAAGTTATGTTGATCGTATTAGGAATCAGGGTGAGTAATTTCTATTTTACCATGGAAATGATGAATTAACAAATTATTTTAATGTAGCAAAATTCCTCTACTGAAAGAATTAGACAAAACTCCACCATATATTCACTGTGCATTTGGAAGGAGGAGGCCAGAAACTGAAAACTCCAAAAGCAATTTTATGAGGCAGACAGAATTCCTTTGGGACTTCATATTAAGCTATTTTCAGTAGGGAGTACAAATATTTTGTTGAAAATGCTAAGAAACGCCTTTAAAACATTTCCTAATAGGGTCATAGTGGCTTGTTGTAAAGAACAGAAACCAATTTGCCCCATGCCTGACATATTGTTCAGTATTTACTATTAATTTTGTTCTAACAAAAGCCTACCTCAGATCAATAAATATAAATGTTGTAAAAAATAAATTTGATAAAGATTACATTTTTTCATTTGATGTAAAAGTACTTTTCACACTTTTTGGTAATTCATTAGGATGGTGATTTCATTTTAAGATTAGCTTTCCCTTTCCTTTTGTGTTACCTGTATTGAAAACTGGCTATTACCATATGTACTTCTTTACATTTTCTGCAGCATGTAATTAAGAGCTAAACTTATATATTTGTTGCCCTTTTTCACCTAATGAAGATAATTCCAAGGTTTGTAGAGAGAAATAAGAAACCATTCAAACCACTTGTGTTATTTTGTTTGTTGCTTTGTTTTTGAGACGGAGTCTCACTCTGTCACCCAGGCTGGAGAATAGTGGCGCAACCTTGGCTCACTGCAACCACTGCCTCCCAGGTTCAAGCGATTCTCCTGCCTCAGCCTCCTAAGTAGCTGGGACTTCAGGAGCCCACTGTCACACCTAGCTAATTTTTGTATTTTTAGTAGAGACAGAGTTTCACCATGTTGGCCAGGCTGGTCTCGAACTCCCGACCTTAGGTGATCTGCCCGCCTCGGCCTCCCAAAGTGCTGGGATTACAGGCATGAGCCACCACACCCAGCCACATTCAAACCACTTCTGAGGACTCTCCTATACTCTGGGTACTTAACTATGAAGTCTAAAGTTGTGGGATGTATAAACCAGCTATAAAGCTAGACAGGCTGACTCTAAAGCAAAGGGTAACATTCTCCACCTTCTGTTTTCTCTGGCTGTCCTTCCCTCTGGAGTGTCCTCCTTATACCTATAGGGATGTCTAGTGTCTGCTATCACAATTTGCTAATTGAATAGGCTCGATATCAGTCATTTCCACCTTAGTGAAAATTAAAACTGCTGTGTATTCTCTCCCTCCCTAAAGTAATTTTATTTTAGGCCTTGTTTATAATGTGACATGGGAAGCATTTCCTCTCCCACCTCCTTTAAATATATTTTGAATATCAGGGATTAAGTAGAAAAGATATTAGTGAAGATAGACTAGCCTTGAGAAGCTTAGTTATGCACCTCAGATAACACAAATCCGTGCATAGCTAGTCCCAAAGTAAAGCACAATAAATTGCATGAAATAATCAATGAATCTGAGGTGCTTGAATAATAGAGTCTTAGAACTGGTTGGTACCTAAGGATTTGTTGTACTCTTCCCTCCCACCCAATGCAGTAATCTTCTCTGTAAGAGCAGTAACAGATGGTCAAGAACTTGTACCACTATTTTGGTTTTTCTTATTAAAATGGCTAGATTTCAGAACTTCTTGGCAAGCTGCTATTCAAATGCAGAAATGCATCTGCTTAGAAACTCAAAAATAAACATGTTTTCCAAAGGAATCAAGTATGTTCTATAAAATCCTGGCCTGTTCATAGGATGTGGTAAGCATGAATTTCATTACAAGTTAATTCTACCATGATGGTAGTGAGCTTCTTTGTTCCAAACTAAGAAGTGTTGAGTGTGATTGGTGATGGTTGGAACTAAGGGGAGGGAGCTGAGAACTGACAGATGTATGCTCAAATCCTGGATGTGTCCTGGCATCAAATTTCAGAAAGTTAAGAAATAATGTTTTGTAAGGCAGTTTCATCTCATAATTTTAAGTTACTGTATTCATTCTACATGAAATCCATCATTAAACTCAGATACCATATCCAGTAGAGTAAATCAGGACCAAATACAGCCTGTAATACGCAGAGCCAGTGAGGCTGGGCAGCTTCTGTCTGAGTTCCAGACTCACTGGCACTCAGCTAAGGATTCCAGACACTCAAACTTAGCAAGAAATAGGACAAGAAGCATGGAGCATGACTTAATATTAGTCTGTGTGCATTTCTATGTGGAGCAATACATTTGCAATGCTTCTTAAAATGTAATGATGCCACAGTTTTATTTTTACATACAGTTATTAACTTTCAAATATATTCAGCAGATGATATGACTGCACATATTGGGATTTGGTATATATAACCTTTCAGTCCTTTTGACAGAGAGTGATAACATTGATAATCTCCATATGGCTTAATGTTTCTTTGCTCTCCCTCCTTTCGGAAATTCTCTGTGCCTCGTTAAATGGAGAAGATTCCATTAATATTCAATGATACATGAACAAGCAATTAAAATAATTTCTATTCTAATCTGGAAATAGAAAGTATTTTCTATGTAGCATTATACAAATGCTATATTTATGAGCTATGTGGGTACTATAGGCAGAGATCAGTTTCAAAAATGAGCAATTACACTGTGCCACATTATAGACTGATTTGAACCACATAAATTTCATGTTTAAGACTCACTTTGATTATGTTGCGTATTTTACCATTTTAGAGAGGTTTCCTTGTGATCCTAATTCTAACTCAAAATAACCTGTTTTCACTTTTTGCCTATCCTTCCAACAATCTCTTCCCAACAAACCACCACCACCACCACCAAAAAAAAAAAAAAAAAAAAAAAAAAAAGCTTCACAAAGGTTTTTGGAATTCAAATGGGTCTTACAAAACTTTTGGATAATTCAAGTGTAAACTAATCAGAAACACATGGGATTGAATTCCCTTTGAGATTTACAATCAGGGTGAAAGGACTTGGCAAACTGTAATGGTTTAACAACAAAAGAAATCAAGAATTTTCAGCCTCACAAGCCTCTACATTTCCTCTCAATTCATTTATATTTAAAAGGGAAGCATATGCTAGAGGCTAGAGTTTGGAAAACTGCCTGGTTATCTGATCTAGTGTTCTGCATCAGCACCTCATCCACCACCCATCACCTTAAGTTTATCTTCTCAACCTGCATGATTTTGAGTGAAAGGGGAGCCAGAAGTGAGATGTATGATCATCCTACTAATAGTTCACATCTGTTCTGAGATTCTGATTGCTGTGAAAATTCTTGTGATAGAAAAATAATTTGTTAAATTCCCTCTTAAAACCTGAAGCAAAAATTATCAGGCTTCTATTTTTATAATACAAACAATTTTCTTCCAGAAACATTCTGATCTGTGTACTCATTATTTTCTAAAGTACATATTTACTTCACATCAGGCATACAATGGTGGACAAAACAGCTGCCTTTCTTCCCCGTATGGAGCTTACAGTATAGTGAATATTTCATGGGACTAGTATCTACAGAAGGTGTTTTGGGAAGCACAGCTTTGGAGAGAGTAATTTGCCAACATTGCACAGAATAAAGGCACCATGAGGGCCCAAGGAAGGAAAAGATTTGCAGCTGTCTTGGTAAGAACTGATGATAAGTGGAATCACACAAGAGATGGTTTAGATATAAAATCAGCAGGATTTGGTAGCTGCTTGACTTTGGGAATCAAAGATGAATTTCACTAGAAAGATAGTTGCGCTGATACAAAGAAAATACAAGAAGCTTGGGAAACACAATTGAGTTTAGGCTGCATATTTGTTTTATGTGCTGTATAGCAAATTACCACAAACCTAGCAATATAAAACAATATGCCTTTACTCTGTCACAGTTTCTGTGGGTCAGCAGTCTGGGTATGGCTTAGCTAAGCTCTCTGCTCAGAAGCTCACAAGCTGTAATCAAGGTTGCATTCTACATTCTCATCTGGAAGCTGCATTCTCATATGGAGGCTTGACTGGGGAAGATCCACTTTTCCAAGTTTTTCAGGTTTTTTGAGAATTTGTGTATTTGTGGTTGTATGACTGAGGGTCTTAGCCTTTTATTGGTTGCGGCTAAGGCAAACTTTAAGCCCTAAAGGGAGGTCCTTGCTGCCTGGGCCTCCCTATAGGCAGTTCATAACATGGCCATTTGCTTTTTCAAGGCCAATGGGAGAATCTCTAGTTGCAGTGTGCTAAGAGAGTCTTGTATACTTAAGGCAGTGACAATCCACCATCTTTGGCATACAATATACACTCATCAAAAGAGTGAAATCCTGCCTTTGCATATTGTATTGGTCAGAAGCAAGTCACGGGCTCTGCCTACATTCAAGAAGAGAGAATTAAACAAGAACGAGGATGCATTGGGGGTCACCTTAGTGTATGTCGGCTCTAAGTTTGGATGTGTTGTGTTTGAGGTGTTAGAAGAGCCTTTGGTGAACAAGTCATCCACGGTTATAAACTGGACAATGTACATCTAGAATGTTTTTTTCCTTTGTGAACTTCTGATAGCAATTAGGGTTAAATGGCTATTTCCTTATAATATTTCTTTATCCAGTTTGTGCTGATTACATTTATAAAATAAAGAGAAGTAAACCTTATATATGAAAACAAAAATGAAATAATATTTGTCAGGTGGTGATAAAAATAAAGCTTAGAAAGATACGTACAACGGCAACTCTCAGATAGGGCTAGAAAGTTTGGAGATGGATATTTATTCCTTAAAGCCAAAGATAAAATAATTTAATTTTCTTCTCCAAAAAACTTCATAGCACAGAAATTGGCAGCCTCTCAGCCAAATATCTCTTGGAAGAAGAAATAATACCTCCTGCTACACATTAACTTCTGAGCCAATTTCAATCTAATACACAGAAGTTAATTCTAGTCAGCTCTCAAGAAAATCTTGACCTACGAATATCTATTTGAAAAATTGAAAAGAGATGTAAAAGCAGAGCCCTACAGACAATATTCTAACAATTGGTGCTGCATTACCAGGTTTGTTTTCTTCTTATCTTATCCCTAAATGGCAAAATAAAAGGCCTAGATCAACTATATCTTGGATTTATGTGACCAAGTCTATCAACAAACCAATAACATCATCATGCATAAAGTGAGCCTTACTCTGTATTTCACTTCTGGTGGTTTTAGTCAACAGCCACTCCATTTTCTAAAGGCAGAAGATTGAACAAAAGATCAGTATATTCCACAAGAACAAATAAATCCAATAACTCTGTAAAGAAGAATATCCCTCTGACCAAATTTTGACTTAGTTACATGATATAATCATAGGTTTTTTAAAAAGCTACTTCATAGCTATGTTTTAAAAATCTAGATATAAACTCTCAAAAGGCAAACTGTAGCTTGGAGAGATATTTGAGACATACTATACAACAAAAGATTACCTTTTATAACTAGAGAACTTTTAAAATCAATAAGATTAACACAATAAAATACATGAAAGACATGAAGAAATGCAGTGGCTAATATGTTTACGAAGAAGGCTTGATCTTATTTGAAATTAAATACAAGTAAATTAAAGCAATGAACTATTTTTAATATGTCTAATAAGCAAATTAATATACCCAGATAAAGTAGGAAAATGAGTACTTTTAAGTACTGGAGATGGCATACATTGGCTTCTGGAAGACAACAAATATACATCAAAAGTTCTAAAATGTAATGATTCTTTGCACCAGCAATTCCACTTCCAGGAATTAATCCTAAAGGGAAGAATGTGATTTACCTTCAAAGGATTTTTAAAATCGCAATTTTCTTATAATAGGAAAAAATTAGAATGAAAGAATATTCAATATTAGGGGATTTGTAAAACATGTTATGGTATAATCATAGCCTGCCATCATAACTTTTAGCCTGTTTTCCCACTCCATGCCCCATTCTCTCCTTTCTGAGAACCACTGCCAGCCTCACATCTCACAAATAGTGTTGATACCATATAACCCTTTGCACCTATCCATTCCCCTGTGTTCATAGCTCATTAGGTGTGGATATACTAAACCGGCCTAATCAGATATGCTCCCTTGGAAGTTCAGAATTGGAATAAAGAGGCTCTGGTTAATTCAGCACTTTAATCGAATGGCAGAGCGGTGAACTCAGGTGCTGTAGTGGCCATTTACACAGAGAAGGGGAGAAAACAGCCTCCAAAGAAAAACAAAGCAAAGGAGCCAGAAAATTAGGGAAAAGAAGCATTATGGTATGGGTGCTAAGGCCAAGGTCATGCCCCAAACCACAGGGTTGTGCCTATCCTTGACAGAAGTGCAAAGAAGGAGCTCATTTTCGGACATCCCACCTTTTATTTCTGAGCCCTTCCTTCCCACATTTTTTTGTTTTCATTTAGATGTTGCATATATTCGTCATTTAGGACTTTCCAAGAATGACTTTCCAATAGCACTCCAATTTCTTTTTTGGAGGTTAATCAGCCTCCAGAACCCACCACCAATTTTTGTGTTGGTGATGGGGGAATCCAGATGCCTCCAGTCATTATGGAAGCTGAAGCTGACAGAGGCCATGACTCCTCATCCCTGCTGAAGGCAGAGGATAGGTCCACACCTAAGCTCAGCCACTGATGCTCTCTGACTGGCCTTTGAGTCATAAATAGCAGCATGCTATCCTATCCACACTGCTGCGCTTTCCACATCTGGATACTCGGGATCACCCTAGGCTCCTGTGCATCCCACACTTATCCCTCAGCGTTCCATTGATTTTCCAACATGAATAGCCTTCTAATATGTCACATATGATTAAGTTAGCTGGAGTCCATTTCTGTGTTTTTAAATATACTTTTATTTTAAATATATTTTTAAATATATTGATGTGTACTTTTCTTTCTCACCTTTCCTTGTATATGATGCCCTCTTACTTCAGCTAGTGGAGGCTTGGCCATTATTGTAAGGAGGCTAAGCATTAAAACAGCAATGTAAGATAAAAAGATGTCCATGTTCAGCTTTTGATTTCCAAAATTAGACTTGTTTTAATCTCCAGTAAGATTCTTAAAAATGAGGCTTTGTTTAAAGAGGTTAAGTTTTTTCTGAATCCCTTAAACTCCAATTTTTATATACAGATCTAGGCCTGATGGACTTTTGTCCTAGAGTTTTACTAGAAAATACTGCGTAGAGACAACAAATGATTTGACACAAGGGATATGCCCAATAGTAAGAAGGAAGAAGAAGAAATTATTCTGTCATGGAAGGGAGGCACAGGGCTCAGAGAGGAAGCAGTTAAACTGATGAGATGCCTGGTTCCCTTCGCTGATCTAGAGCAGCCACACTGCCATCCCTGTGCCGTGGCCAAAGAGACAAAACAAATAATTAAAAATGCCCACAGAAAGCTAAAATGGATTAAATGAGAGGTTGATGCTCTGCTTCTCTGTCAACAGGCCAAAGAGCTGTACAGTAGGAATTACAAAGGAAGCATTTGATGATGTACCCAAGAGGGTGCCCCAGTCCTCCCATAGACGATGCAAGGCATACCAGAGACCCAGAAATGTCTGTGTGGCTCAGTGGGGAAATGTGGAGAGGCCACAAAAACCTAGAGGGGACTCTGATTGGGAAAAGGAAGCTACACAGCCTAGGGACTTTACTCCTTGAGGCAACTGGCAAGAAGTGATACATTAGAAGTTAATGCCAGCGAAATATTCAACAAGGTTAGGTATAACCAGCCACATCTCAGAGGACACCAGTATAGGGCCTCTGGGGACCAAACCAACCCCTCCGAAGCAAAGAACATCAAGAATGTGGAAAGTGCCCTCAACTCCTGCCACATGAGGATGGATGCAACCTCCTCCTGCACATTGGAAAGAAGGATCAGGGAGGGACCAGCCTATGGTAGCAGGAGGCACAGCCAAAATAGGGCTCTAAATTGCTGAAAGTTATTTACTCATAAGAGATGAACTATCTTAACTTGGAAAAGTTGTTTACCCTGACTTCACCTGGAATTGAAATTGTCTGCTAAATAAAATAAAGGAAATTATAAAATATGTTACACATACAGACTATAACAAATACCCTTTTTTTTTTTTTTTTTTTTTTTTTTTTTTTTTTTTCTGAGACAGAGTTTTACTCATCACCCAGGCTGGAGTGCAGTGGCGCAATCTCAGCTCACTGCAACCTCCATCTCCCGAGTTTAAGCGATTCTCCTGCCTCAGCCTCCTGAGTAGCTGGGATTACAGGCACCCACCACCACGCCCAGCCAATTTTTGTATTTTTGGTAGAGATGGTGTTTCATCATGTTGGCCAGGCTGGTCTCAAACTCCTGTCCTCAGGTGATCCACTCGCCTTGGCCTCCCAAAGTGCTGGGATTACAGGCATGAGCCACCGTGCTCGGCCAGAATACACTTAATTCTTGATATAAACATAATTGAGTCTACTAAGTAAGATAATAGACAAGATGGTGTGTGTGTGTGTGTGTGTGTGTGTGTGTGTGTGTGTGTGTGTGTGTGTGTGGCTTACAGGCAGATATTAAAAAGCCAATATCAAAAAAGAGATTACAGATGTAGTTGGGTCCTTTCCGCTTTCCAAGGTTCCTACTTCTGTTCCTGCACCCTAAATTTTGTCTTCCCCATCTGCTCTCAGATCTTATTTCCTCTGTAACTTATTCTGATATATAAGTAGAGGAAAATGAAATGGGTCTAGAGTTCATGTTTAAAAAGAGAACAAAAGAAATATGGGTGCTAGTATGTCTCATGTTCTCAACTATCTCAAGCCATATGCTCAAAGAGAAGAAAAACCTGAGGAAAGTATCAAAACACTTGTAAAGCTCATTGTCTAGTATATTACATTTTTTAATTTTTTATTTTTAAGTACTATGGATATATAATAGTTGTTCAAATTTTGGGGATGCATGTGATATGCTGATACCAGCATACAACGTGTAATGATTAAATCAAGGTAATTGGGGTACTCCTCACCTCCAGCATTTATCTTTTCTTTGTGTTAGACCACCACCACATGTGCAGCATCCCTCTGGGTCTCTTCCATGACAACCCTGTGGGAAGCCAGGCAAGTGAGAATCAATGTAAACATGAAGTTCATGCTGCTTACTGTGTCGTGATAATGTCCTTGTCTCCCAATCAGGAGCCTCATGTCTTCTTGCCAGCCTCTGTGGAACTGTGGTAGGCTATTAAGTTAATTAGCAAGCAGGGTAAAGTCTCAGATCCTTTGCATTTTCTTTTAACCAGCTCTTTCTAGGTGAAAGACACATGGATATCACTGTGAAACTTCATGCTCTGTATAGCTCAAAATTTTGCCCAAGGGGAGGTTCCAGCACCATCTGATTAGTACATATTGCTGAGAAAAATACTAAAGGAAGAAAATACTAATAATAATATATTTCACTAACCCTCTTAGATATTAAGAAATGAATGAAAAGGTCTATATTATTGACTATTAATCACTTGGAATCTCTGTTGTTAAACTGAGAAGTAAACTGCATTGCCTAGAATATTGGCCATATTTTTAGTGATACTAATTAAATTGTTTGAGATAGATCTGAAGACAGCAGAAGCTTGTCTGGGCCTAGCTTCCTTGAATTCTTCTTCCCCGAATTGCTATGTCTTGGTAATTTTGAAATATGAGTTAGAAACCATCTACTTACCTAACTGATATCATTATTCCAGTTAATGTTTGTCCCAAGGTATTTCTCAAAGACTTAAGAAAAATGAAAATTCTATTTTTTAAAGGGCCTAGCTCTTTTAAAAGGATATGTTTCATGGAATTCTATTTATCAACAAACATGTAGACTACTTCAACAAGACTTCAATGTGATTTCATGTGTTTATTCTCCTGAGTCAGATGTGAACAATGTAATCCTAAAAGATTTTGGGGAATGGTGACATATGCTACTTAATTCACACTCATGAGCTTAAGAGAAGATAAGAGAATGTCATGCTCATGTGTGACAAAGATAAAACTATATTCTAACTAGGATTACAAGAATAAAACACCAGAAACTTGACAACTTGACATTTTTTCACAGTGCTTAAAAATAAATGTAATAAAACTTTGGCAGTTAATGTCATTTTGATTTGCTTTAATTTTATTTTCAAACCTCTATTATTGAAATAATAATTTCATTATTTCAAACCTTCATAGGAAAATAATAGAATTGTGCTGTTGTGTCAGTATAAGACATAGTCAACATTTTCTGCAATGAACAAGTAATGTTGAGATTAACAAGATTTCTCTTAATAAATGTTTTATACAAGCATAAGAAAAATGGATAGCACAAAAAATGGATAGCACAATAGGGTAACATTAGCACTTTAACAAATAAATCCCAACATTCTAATGGCTTAATACAATTGAATTTTATTTCTTGCTCATGCAACAGTCCAGCACAGGTGCTCATGGTCTGCTGCTGGGGCCACGATGCATCTGTCTCATGCAGTCATATAGAGACCCAAGTTGATAGCTGTGATGTGTTCTCCAAAACATGGCTTTAGAGGTTGCCATGGAAATCAACATCCAACTGATGGAAGAGGCAAGAGAAAGGATGCAAAAACCACACCAGCTGTTTAATTACCTGGGTCCAGAAGTAACAGGTGCCACTACCTCTCACATTCTATTAGTGGAAATTAGTCACATGGCCTCTCCTAACTGCTAGTAAGTATAGAAAAGTTGGTTTTGGCTGGGCAGCCACAAGACAAAGCTACTAAGAAAGACATAGCATTAATTTTATGTTGTTAGCCATCTCTGCTATAAGCGTAAGTCAAATAGAATTTTCATTTTTCTTAAGTCTTTGAGAAAAACATTGGGACAAACATTAACTGGAATATTGATATCCATTAGGTATGAGCTTGATTGTTTCTAACTCATATTTCAAAATTACCAGATATAGCAATTCAGGGAAGAAGAAAAAGGTTTAAAGACTGTGACATTCAGACTGCTATATTCAATACAGAAAAGATATTTGGTGATATTTCTATCCCTTTTTCTTAAATGTACATTCTTCTGGGATTTAATAAAGTCACATTCTGATTTTTAAAAATAGTACTATTAATCTCACTATAGAGCTCTGAAAATAATAGAATCGTGCTGTTATATTACAGCAGTTATTGATTGTCCATTTTTTCCAAAGACACTGAGATCTATGGAAGAAATAAGCCTCATTATTTTTCATTTGTATTTAATGTAGATGCAACAAAAGTTATATACTTCTTTATTATATATTTTGTCATGCCTATTAAATGCCAGTTATATAAGATGATTCCTGATCCAAACACAGTGCTTTATGTTATTGGGATTAAAAGAATTAGTTAAAGCTTTAAGTTAAATTACTTTTGAATTCATTTATGGCTAGGTACACATGAAATAAACACTCTACATTGTCTACAGTGGTAATTGCCAAGAAAAAGAGTATATTTTAGTAACAATTTGGCTAAGCGCCTCAAATTCAAAGTAATTCCACATTTAAATACTAACACTCAAACCTGAAAGTTGTCTTTAAAAGCTTTATAAATTGTTTCTGGTGAGGGTTTTACGACTATGGGGTGGGTGGAAAGGGGAGGAAGGAAGAGGGACTGCCTCACTATAAGCTGATAACAAGGTTGCTAAAAATTGCTCTTATCAATGGTCTTTGCACTTAACTTGTTTAAATAAAAGAAAAAACTTCATGTGAGTCATCGTATTTTGTTCACTACAGCTTGGCAGGTCACCTTGTTCTAGCAGATAGAAACTGAATCAATATGGGAAGAGCCAGAATTTGGACAAGGTTCACCAAACATTCACACTGATGCCAGGTGGGCCAAGAAAAAGGGAATGTCCTGCCTCTGAGGTATCTAAAAATTTTTATGTTTAAGTCAAGGGTTTTGTGTTGTGAAGGCAGAGCTTTGAATTTCTAATAGAAGAAGAAAAGCAGAATATACCCAGAAACTCCTGATTAAATTTATGGTCCTCTAATAATATTTTAACTTTAAAGGAGTCAGACGGCATTCTAGAAAAGAGCCCTTTGGTCAATGCTTTCCTATCTATAGTTTAATCAACCCTTCCATATATGCACATATTAAGCAAATTCAAATGACATTAAAAATAAGTTACATTTCTTATTCTAACCCCTGCCATTCATCCCGCTTTCCCCCCATTGTCACACATATGCCCACTTCCACTTCTGCACATAGGAAGAAAGGGTGAATAAATGTCAGAATCAAGTGGAAAGATTAATCATAGGCTGTTTTTTACATTGTTTTATTCTGAGTCAGAATACGCTTTACAGGACATAGGCAAGCACTTGAAATATAGGACTCAGAACATAAGATGCTTCGTAGGACCCAGGCAAGCACAGCAATTAAATGGAATTCCACATTTTTAAGGAAAGCTTTTTACTTTTCTTCCTCTTTTTGTTTCTCTTTACTTTTGCAGCTCCCTTCAAAAGTCCTTTCTGTGAGACACATTTTTAACTACCATATTGTTCAATTTTAACAAGAGTTCAGGGTGAGGAAGGTTATAGCTGAGGCATTTACAAGGATTTCCTGTTTGTAGTGGCTGCTTTTTCCTCTTTGGTAATGTGTTTTTCACATTTTTTAAAAGCTGCCTGTATGCATTAATATTACTTAATCTCCATCACCTTAAGAAACCATATGGGGCAGGGAGAGGAAGACCGGTGCTGGCTCTTTCCCTTTCTCAATGACTTGAGACACCTTAACCTTGCTTAACTTTTTCTAGAAAATGAAGATAGTAACACCTGCTCTGAATTGTCACAGAATTATTGTAAGGCTCAAATAAAATCTATGTATTTAAGGAATCAATATGTAATAAAGATCTTGAAGTGTTAGTAGTCGATTATATCTGAGATACATTCGCCAATATCCAAGGGGGACAAAGAGAGCTCCATACCCCGGGGGAAATGTAGTCCACTGACAATTTGTCCACACAATTAGAATACAAAATAGCACCCTATGCCTCAACTTTTTTACAGTCAAAGAAAGCATGAGGCATAAATAGTCCTGAAGGGATGTGGAGTCTGTTTGCTCTGCATATGATTTGCATATGCTCCTCTGAAAAGTCACCGGGCAACCGAGTAATTGTACAGTAATGATGTGGTTAAAAAAACAGATTGATCTACTTTTATTATTATTGTTACAAAATAATACATATATTTTTAAAATTCAAACGATACTAAAAGTTACATTCCCTGTCCTACTCCCTGTCACTTATACCATTTCCCAGTTTCTGTTTTTAGTTCTGATGGTTTCCTTTTTGCTCTCCACTGTGACTGATATACATTTATACTTCTATTTTTTGATGACTCAAGTTTCGATAGTATCTTCTCACTCCCAGTACAAGATATTCAGTACACAAAAGATATCCTTTTCTCTCCTGAGTTTCATTTTACGTGTGTATGAACACACAAACATGCTAACACACATGCTCACACAATCTTTTAGCTCTTGTATAGGTTCCTGAATTAATTGTTCAGTAGTATACTAAGCCTCTACTTCTGGTTTCCAATTTAGGCCCTGCATGTTGTCCAACACTAGCCCATCAGTGGGATTGTTTTACATTCAGGGCAGCTGCACTACTGCCTCCTTGGAGAACAGTGCCTCCTGGAGTTTAGCAGTGCACAGCCCTACAGATTAATGCAGGGGCCCTGATCATATTTGTATTTTGTTCCTGTATATGTTTAATCAATCTTTAGAATCTCATCTATAGTTGGTTCATTATTGCTGGGAAACAAACGGCATTTACAAAGTCAAATTTTAGTAATGTTATTCATTATATAAATGAATAGTATCTTTCTCTCCATATCCTTTACAAAGTCTTCAAAAGTTTCTGAAATTTCACTAGGATAAGTTGGTGGATCTTTTTCTCACCCATTCAGTACTTTGTGGGCTTTTTCAAATGGCAGATTTGTGTCTTTTTTAAAACTCTGAATAATTTTCTTCTATTACAGCTTTGATAATTTTCATCCCTCTGTTTTCCCTACTCACTCTTTCTAGAACTTCTTTTTCCATTTTTTAGTGATAAAATACACATACATAAATACTATCTTAACCATTTCTAAGTATGCAATTCAGTGGTACTAAATACATTCATAATGTTATGCCACATAACCACCATCCATCTCCATAACTCTTTTCAACTTGTAAAACTGAAACTCTATACCCATTAAGCAATAACTCCTCATTCCTCCTCCCCCAAACTCCTGGAAACAACTATTCTACTTTCTGTGTTTATGATTTTGAATACTCTAAGTACTTCATGTAAAAGGAATCATGCAGCATTTGTGTTTTTGTAATTGGCTTATTTCACTTAGCAGGTCCTCAGGGTTCATCAGTGTTTTAGCATGAATCAGAATTTCCTTCTTTTTAAGGCTGCATAATAGTCTACTGTATGTATACACCATAGTTACTTATCCACACATCCACTGATGGATACTTGAGTTGCTTCCATGGTTTAGCTACTGTGGATAATGCTGCTATGGTCATGAGTGTACAAATATCTCTTAGGGTTCTATCAATTATTTTGGGTATATACTCAGAAGTGGAATTGCTGAATCATATAATGATTCTATTTTTAATTTTTTTAGGAATGGCCATACTGTTGTCCACAGTGGCTGTATCACATAAATTCCCATTAATGGTGCAAAGGTTTCAGTTTCTCCACATCCTCACCAACATTTGTTATTTTCTGTTTTGTCTTGTTGATATTTGTCATTCTAATGAGCGTGAGGCGTTATCTCATGGTAGTTTTAATTTGCACTTCCCTAATGATTAGTGATGCTAAGCATCTGTTCACGTACTTATTGTCCATTTGTATATCTTGTTTGGAGAAATGTCTATTCAAGTACTCTGCTCATTTTTGAATCAGGTTGTTTGCTTTTTTTGTTGTAAGTTACAGAAGTTTCTATATATTCTAAATATTATATTCTGATAAGGGTATCAGATATATGACTTGAGAATATTTCCTCCCATTCTGTGGTTCACATTTTTACTCCATTGCTAGTGTCTTTTGATGTATAAAATTAATTTTAATGAGGTCAATTTGTCTATTATTTCCTTTGCTGTCTGTGCCTTTGGTGTCAAGTCCAAGAAGTCATTGCCAAGTCCAATGTCATAAAGCTTTTGCTCTATGTTTTCTTCTGAGAGTTTTATTAGTTTAGATCTTACATTTAGGTCTTTGATGCATTTGCAGTTAATTTTTGTATATAGTGTTGGGTAAGGGCCCAACTTCATTCTTTTGCATGGGAAAATCCAGTTTTCTAAGCACCATTGTTGAAAAGAGTATTCTTTCTACATTGAATAGTCTTAGCACCTTGTCAAAAATCACTTGATCATATGTGTTAGGGTTTATTTCTGGGCTCTGTATTCTATTCCATTAGCCTGTATGTCTGTCTTTTTACCAGTGCCACGCTGTATTGATTTTTGTAGCTTTGTTGTAAGTTTTCCAATAGAAAACTGTGATTTTTCCAGCTTTGTTCTTCTTCAAGATTGTTTTGTCTATTTGAGGTCCCTTCAGAATTCCATTTGAATTTTTGGATGAGTTTTTCTATTTATGAAAAAAAAAATCATTGGAATTTTGAAAAACATTGCACTGAATTTTTACATTACTTTGGAGAGCATTGACATCTTAACAATATGAAGTTTTCCAATCTATCCATGAAGATGGGATGTGTTTTCATGTATTTATGTATTCTTTCTTTCAGCAACATTTTATAGTTTAGGCTGGGTGTGGTGGCTCACACCTCTAATGCCAGCACTTTGGGAAAGCAAGGCGAGAGGATTGCTTGAGATTAGGGGTTCGAGACCAGCCTGGGCAACAGAGCAAGACCTCATCTCTACTTTAAAAAAAAAAAAAAAGTTTTATAGTTTAACTTGGGTAACTGTATAAGTCTTTATGCAACTAATTTTTGCATGTTGGCTTTGTATCCTGCTGCTTTACTATATTCATTTATTAGTTCTAACAGTTTTGTATGTGAGGTTAATCTTTAGGGTTTTCTACATATAAGATCATCTCATCTGCAAACAGATAAATTTACTTCTTCCTTCCAACTTGGATGCCTTTAATATTTTCTCTTCCTACCTAATGCTTTGGCTAGAACTTCCAGTATTGTATTGAATACAAGTGGTGAAAGGACATGCTTGTGTTTTGATCTCAGAGCAAAAGCTTTCAACCTTGCACCACGGGGTATAATGATTACTTTGTTTAAATTACGGCTGTTATTATATTGAGGTAGTTTTCTTCTATTCTTAATTTGTTAAGTGTTTTTTGTTTATCATAAAAGGGTGTTGAAGTTAATGAAATGTTTTGTCTGCATCAATTGAGATAAGTATGTGTTTTTTTCTTCATTCTGTTAATGTGGTATAATGCATCGATTGATTTTCATGTGTTGAACCATCCTTAGACGCCAGGAATACATTTCACTTGGTTGCTATGTATATAATCCTTTTAATATGCTGCAGATTTTGGTTTGCTAGTATTTTGTTGAGGATTTTTTAATCAATATTTACAACGGATATTGGTCTGCAGTTTTCTTTCCTTGCAGTCTCTTTGTCTGACTTTAATATCAAGTAAATGCTGTCCTCCTAAAATTAATTTAGAAGTGTTTCTTTTTCTTCAACTAAAAAAAGTTTGGGAAAGATTGCTATTATTTTTTTCTTTAAATGTTTGGTAGAATTTGCCTGTGAAGCCATCAGGTCCAGATCTTTTTTTTTTTTTTTTTTTTTTTGGTGGGAGATTTTGAATACTGATTTAATATTCTCACAAGTTTCTATTCAGATTTTCTATTTCTTCATGATTTAGTCTTGGTAGGTTTCTTCTTGTTGCTAGGAAGTTGTTCTTGTAGGTTATCCAATTTTTTGTAGTATAATTGTTCATAACACGTTTATAATCCTTTTTATTTCTATAAAGTCAGTAGTAATGTCCCCACTTCTACTTCTGATTTTGGTAATTTGAGTCTTCTCCCTTTTTTCTTAGTTTATCTAGCCAATGTTTGTCAATTTTATTGATGTTTTTAAGTGATTAACTTTTGATTTCATTGATTTTCACCATTGGTTTTCTATTCTCTATTTTGTTTATCTCTGCTCTAATCTATTAATTCCTTACTTCTGATAGTTTGGGTTTAATTTATTCTTCTTCTTCTAGTTCTTTAAGTTGTAAAGTTAGGTTGCTGATTTGAGATCTTTCTTGTTTTACAGTGTAAGCATATATAACTATAAATTTTTCCCTCAGGATTGCTTTTGCTGTGTCCCCTAAATTTTGGTATGTTGTGTTTTCACTTTTATTGATCTGTAAGTATTTTCTAATTTCCCTTGTGATTCTTCCTCTCAATAATGAATAAAACTAGGCTGGGCATGGTAGCTCACACCTGTAGTGCCAACAATTTCGGAGGCCAAGAAGGGAGAACTATTGAGCCCAGGACTTTGAGACCAGATTGGACAAAATACTGAGACCTTGTTTCTACAAAAAATAAACAAAATTAGTTGAGCATGGTGGCATGCACCTTTAGTCCCAGCTACTTGGGAGGCTGAGGTGGAAGAATTGCTTGAGACCAAGAGGCTGAGGCTGCAGTGAGCCAAGATCATGCCACTGCACTCCAGGTTGGGCAACAGAGGCAGACTTTGTCTCCAAAAAATAAAATAAAAAATAATGGATGAAACAACCAGACAGAAAATAAGTAAGGAAACAGAGGATTTAAACAGCCCAATAAACCAACCAGATCTATTAGATCTAATATATATATATAGTGTGTGTGTGTGTGTGTGTGTGTGTGTGTGTGTGTATATATATATATACACACACACACACACACACACACACACACACACAGAACATTCTACCCAACAACAATGTACACATTCTTCTCAATTGTATCTGGGATGTTTTTCAGGATTCACTACATATTAGGCTACACATTAAGTCTCAATAGACTTAAAAAAATAGATATCTGATTAAATGTCTTCTCTCATCTCTAGAGAATGAAGTTAGAAATCAATAACAGAAATAAAACTGGAAAATTCCACAGAATTGTGGAAATTAAACAACACCCTCTTAACCAAGATATTGAAGTCTCTATTATTATACTACTATATTTCTCCTTTCAATTTTGTCAGTTTTTATTTTATATATTTTCATGATCTGTGATTAGGTGAGTAAATGTTTATAATTGATCTATCTTCTTGCTATACTAAAACTTTCATTAATATATAATGTTCTTTTGTCCCTTGTAAACTTTTTAAACTTAAAGACTATTTTGTCTGATGTTAGTATAGCCAGACTTTCTCTATGTTGGTTACTATCTGCATGAAATATCTTTTTCCATCCTTTCACTTCCAATCTATTTGTATCTTTGGATCTAAAGTGAGTCTTTTGTAGACAGCATATATTTGAATCACGTATTTTATTCATTCTGCCAATCTCTGTCTTTTGATTTGAGAGCTTATGCCACTTACATTTAAAGCAATTACTGTTAAGTAAGCACATACTTCTGTCATTTTGCTATTTGTTTTCTGTAGGCCTTATAGCATTTTCATCCTTCACATCCTATATCATTATCTTCTTTTGTGTTTATTTTTTTGTAGTGAAACATTTAAATTCCTTTCACATTTCTTCTGTTTGTTTTCTATAGCTACATTTTGTGGTTATCATGGGGATTACACTTAAGTTCCTAAAGTTGTAACATTCTAATTTGAATTTGTTCCAAAGTAACTTCAATAATACACAAAATCTCTGTTCCTTTAACAACTTCATTCTCACCCCTTTCAATTGTTGATGTCACACAATTATGTCTTTATACATGATGTCCAAAATACATTAATAATTATTTAAATGGTATTAGTCTCTTAAATTATGTTAAAAAATGTGGATTTATAAGTCAAAATTACAATATTACCAGCTTTTAGATTATTTTTAATGTATTAGTCTTTTAAACCATGTAGAAAACAAAAGTAATAGACCATTGTGACAATAATATTAGCTTCTATAATTGTCTATGAATTTACCTTTATTGAGATATGTATTTCTTCATATGGCTTCACATTACTCTCTAGTGTCCTTTTATTTTACCCTGCAGGACACTCCCTTGAGTATTTCTTGCAGAGAATATCTAGTTGTAATGAACTCCCTTAGCTTTTCTTTATCTGGGAATGTCTTAACTTCTGCCTTACTTTTGATGGACAATTTTGCTAGATATAAGATTCTAGGTTGACCTTTTTTACTTTTACTTTTTGTTTTACTTTTTACTTTTTGTTTTACTTACTTACTCTTACTCTTTGTTTTACTTTTAGCACTCTTAATATTTTGGCCCACTGCCGTTGGCCTTCAAATTCTCTCATGACAAATTTGCTCATAATCTTATTGAGTAGCCCTTGTATATGGCAGGTTGCTTTTCTCTTGCTGCTTTTGTTACTACAAAGGCCAGGGATTCGGTCTAGGTCCCATTGCTTGCTGCAAAAGAAAGCCAATCACTGAAACAATTAGTATTGCCAAGGAAGAAGGCTTTAATCAGGTGCTGCAACCTGAAACATTAGATTCAAGGCAGCGAATTTTAGAATAAGGGCCTAGACCCAGCCTCTGAGCTTCTCAATAGCCATTCTGGTGTGTGGCACTCTTTCTTGTCTTACACCCATGTTCAGGTGTACACTGAAGTTGTACAAAATCTGACTCCTCAGTAAATGAGCAAGATGTCATAGTCCTCAGGCTGATGATTCCATTTCTTTAGACATATACAATGTGGATTTTAGAGTGAGAGTAAAAAGTCACTGTCACCATTTAATGTACAAAAGGTAAGACTTGCAACTGACTTTACTGCTCCACAGACAGTCCTTTGGCCAATCACCATTTTCCTGCCTGGCTTCCCTGCTTGCTCCCCTTAACTGCTCACTCTGAGTATGAAAACCCTTCAAAGCTCCACGAAAGAATAGCTACAGCTCAGGGGCAGCCTTCACTACATGTGGACACCTGTGCTTGCAGAATGCAAAAACAATCACTAGCTGTAACACAACAATGTAGAAACTAAAATAATATATTAATATTAGTTTTAACTGATTGAAGAGCAAAAAAGCTGAAAAGAAAAAGTTTTGCAAGTAGGTCAAATTATGATGGCTGCCATGACTTTTTAGATAAGAGTCTTTGTTATAGAATAATTATTAAAAAGACATGGATTATAAAGCTTCTGATAGAGTTGGAAAAAAAAAACCAAATTACCTATTAGAAGGAAAAGTATATGGAGGCTAATCCTGGGGCTCTATGCTAGAAAAATTAATTGTTGTATCTCCAGTAGTTATTTAGAGAGGATATTTCCTGAGAAAAGTTAAAAAATTTGGAGAATCTCAAATATGGACCTTCACAAGCATGTGACACAGCACAGAGCGTTTGATATGTGTTCTGTGGAGTTACGAATTTTTGCAGTTGTTCAGTTTGAATTCCTCTGGTTGGATCTCCAGGGACTTTAGACATGGTTGGAATAGATGGTCTTACAGCAATAAAGACCTCATCGACAAAGGCCTGTTTGTGCTTTTTTTTCAACAAATCTATTTAAGCACAAGTCCTGTCATTATACCCTTTCAAATTCTCTCTAGCCCATCCTCTCATCTCCATCACATTGTCATTGCCTTAGATCAGACCCTCATCATTTCTCCCTTGGACGATTCCCATAGCCTTCTAATAGGTTTTCTTACCTCCAGACTTGCCATCCAGTCTATACTCTACACATCACTAGAATGATATGGGTAACAGGAAAACTTGATCATTAAAATTCTTTAATGTCTCCATACTTCTTCAGCAAAATTCCAAAATCTTTAACATAAACAAATACAACATTATCCCTGACTTAGTCTGCCTACCTCACTAGTCACTTCTTGTACTCCAACCTCCCCAACCCATCTACTTTGCTTTTCAGTAACACAGAACTATTTGCCACTTCCTTGATGCCACCTAATCCCTTGACTTTATGCATTTGTCTACTTCCATTTTCCACACCCATATCTTTAAACAGGCTCTCTTCCATCTTCCCAACACCACCTGGGATCATCTCTTCCAGATACCATCCCTAACACTACACTTTCTCACTCAACTGTCCCGCTCCATCCAGGATTGGTTAGGTGTCCAATTATGTTTTCCACAACACTCCAAATATAATTCTTACCAGCCAGCATGGTTGTGATGTTTCTTCTATACTTTCTCCCCACAAGAAGAAAGTTTTGTGAGGGTAAGGATCATATTTAATACTTGTATGTTCACCAGAAACTCATCATACAGTTTGGAGATAACATTTGTTGAAGGAGAGAAGAAAAGAGGAGAGAGGAATGGAGTGAGGCAGAAAGGAAATGATGACGAGCTACTCTTCAAAATTAAGCTGGATAACAACAAGAAATTCTAGAAAGCAATTGAGGCAACCTCCACCCTAAGACCCAGGTAAACCCTACATTTAAAGTGCTGTTCTGGGGCACAGTGAAAGATTTCTGCCAGAAAATTTGCTCCCTAGGATTTACATGATGATGAGATTACATGCTGCCTTGTGGCAACAAAATCAAAAGTCTGTAAAAGAAAAAGCGTGCTATGCTTCTGAATGTTTGGAGATCCTACAATAGATTTTTCATTCAGCTATTTTGTTGCTGCTTCATGAGCACACCTGACAGTCTTGTGGGATAATAGAAATAAACTTCTCATAAACAACGGTCAAATTTTTCAGATATATATTTTCAACACAGAACTAGCAAAATGTACACAGTGCTAAGTTGTGCCATCTCTGTACTTTACTACGCAAGGCACTTCTTTGATAATGTGCAGCAGAATAATGTTATAGCAGATTTCACAATGAAA
This sequence comes from Homo sapiens, assembly GCF_000001405.40. Taxonomy (NCBI): domain Eukaryota; kingdom Metazoa; phylum Chordata; class Mammalia; order Primates; family Hominidae; genus Homo; species Homo sapiens. The sequence goes on from NC_000007.14 coordinate 116,349,938, forward strand.
TCGTCAATGAATCTTCTTTCAGTCATTTCATTCGGGATCAAATCGGACATATGCAAAGTTCTTAGAATCACTTTTGTCAAATGGGGCAAAATTGCAGAGGTCATAGCAAGTAAGGAGCCATCCTCTTTTATAACTGCTATGCCCATCCAACAACCACAGCTTTCTTACCAAGATGGTCACCAAGGTCTGCTGCACAGGATTGCATACTCCAGAGCACCCTCCAGTCAGTGCAGACACACCAACCGCTGGTCAGCCTACAGGGGTGGTGTCTCTGCTTCTTCTGCCCAGGCAAAGCTGATATCATGCTAGAGAAAGGATAAGCCATTGACACCATCCCCAAAGGATCCTTAAGAACTAGCATTGCAATTTACATTATTGACCATTCAGTGTTGGTTGGACACATGGTGGTAAATTTAAGAGATCCTACTAGCCAAACAGTCCAAGCCAAGTTGCTCTGGGATAACAAGGTACTAGCATTGCAACTGGTCTGTGCTGTAACACCAGAAGGAAACTGAGTCTAGGTATGCTGTATCAAAAATCTATGATGATGTCTTCCACGGTATTCTCTCTCAAGGCCCTTTGTCAAAGAGGTCACTGCTACTAGGCCTTCCATAGGAGTAATTGCAGGTAATTTGGCAAACTAGGTCTTCCTAAGAGAGAGAAACTTGGGTAGGGAATGTCAAAGTCCATGATTCACATTCTATACCACAATCATGACCAAAGTGATCATAAGATTGGGGTGGCTTGACTTACAGAGGTTGTTAACAAATGTCCCAAGGTGGTCGCGGAGGCACTTGTCAGAAAAGGTAGTGTTTTTCTTTCAAGAATCAAAAATTGAGCCAATTCAATAGAAACTCCTTGGTTTCACTGACCATATTGAAAAACTCCAGAAATTATTCTAAGAAATTCTCCAACCAGTGAATCACATCTGTTGGTTTTAACACCTGAGGCAAACCTTGGCAACCATCAGGACACTGTCAAGGATACACTGAAGGAGCGTCTCTACACAGAATTGCAGTAAATCGACTCCTTGCAATTCTGGGGGCAAACAACACAGTTCAAATTTATCAAATGTTAATTTTAGAGTTACCACTGGAAAAACTAAAACAACTATCTTATCCAATTGGCACTCTGTATTGTCATCTTTACATCTTTACTGTTAAATCTTAAATGTTCCTGGTCATATGAAACAATGTTTTCAAAGAATATAGGAACCGTTCTTCATTTTGAAGATGTATTCATTGACTATGTGATAAAGGAAAAGCCTTCGGGAAATATTCATTGACTATCACATTTAAACCAGTTATGGGTATGGAGGAAAGCAAAAAATGCAAAAGTTAAAAACTTTATATCTCTTTCTAAAGTTACCAATATTACTGGTATCCAATCTATCTAAAACAGCATGAATGTAATATATAGTTACCCTACTATAAAGGCCAAGCAAGAATTTTAACCTCTTTGACAGCTCCTCAATTTCCACCATGTTTTCCACTGCAAAGGTAGTCACTTCTCCACCCATAGCAGTAACACTTTCTGTGGCCCTGACCTCAGTAGGAACAGGACTGCTATCTAGAAAGACCAGCTCTTGATGTTTGATGTCCGGGCTATACCCCCAAAACAATGAAATCAGCAGTCCTTGTGGTGGGACAAGGAGAGGGCTAGACACCGAAATGCACCTAAAATTTTCCAGGTGATTCTAATGTGCAACCAGGGTTGATAATCACTGGGACAGTCTAACAGGCCCACACCAAACACAGTGAGAGAAGTAAGCAAAGGGAAATCTATTCCTTGCCCTTAAGAAATTTGCTGGCCAGGCTCGGTGGCTCACACCTGTAATCCCAGTTCTTTGGGAGGTCGAGGTGGGTGGATCACGAGGCCAGGAGATGGAGATCATCCTGGCTAACACGGTGAAACCCCGTCTCTACTAAAAATACAAAAAATTAGCCGGGCGTGGTGGCGGGAGCCTGTAGTCCCAGCTACTCGGGAGGCTGAGGCAGGGGAATGGCGTGAACCCGGGAGGCGGAGCTTGCAGTGAGCCAAGATCGCGCCACTGCACTCCTGCCTGGGTGACAGAGCGAGCGAGACTCCATCTCAAAAAAAAAAAAAAAAAGGAATTTGCCAAAAGTGAATAAACAACTCTGTAGGCAGTGGACATCTTCTAGAGTAGCTATCCGCTCCTCCATCTACAGGCTGCAGTAGGCGTGGTTTAGGCAGCTGTTTGTACCACACTACCCTGCCAACAACATTGATTGAACAGAAGGCTGGATATGCAGCACAAGGCAAGATGATCCAATCCCTTTAAATTTGGAATAAAGACCCTAAGTCTAATTCAGATATTTGGGGGATGTTGAGCTGAAGCATAAAAGCAGAAATGATAAAGAAATTGGAAGAAATTAAAAATTTGGAAGAGAGAAAAGGGAAGAAAATGAAAGTAGACATGCCTAAGAAAGAGTCAGAGGGGTACTGTATGATCCTGAGAGTCTGAGAGAGCTGCCTAGGCTTCTAAGAGGTTTCCAGTTTACATCATGAAAGGCCCGTTTCTTGGACTTTGTAGGTTTACAATACCTTCTCCTTAGTTTGAGACAACTGAGTGGGTCTCTGCCCTTTGCAATAAAAAAGGGTATCCTGTTTACCTTCTGGTTTCCAGTTCAATTCTCACTTGAATCCTCCATGTGTTTACCTTGTTTCCGAAAATGATAAGAGCAATGAGAGTTCAGAGAAGTGGGAAACCAAAGGGCGCCGGAGTGGTCTGAGGAGGTTTCACAAATCATGTGGGGATTGAACTGAATCCCAAAAAATGGAAAGAAGGGAGCTCCCTCACTCCGGGTGAAGGAAAGAGTAGTACAAAATCACAGAGGCAGGAGTGTGCCCAAGGAGACTGGAGTCTACACAGAAGGATGTGGGACGCCAGAAAATTAATTTAACCTGGTGGAGTGAACCTAATGAAAGCTCAGCAACACTAGCTCCATGCTCCTTCTACTTCTTGACGTATCCTACAGGTAAAAAGTCCTGAGACCCAGCAGGTTTTAAGAAATGCTTCCTAAACTCTTTTATATATATATATATTTTTTTAATTTTGAGACAGAGTTGCGCTCTTGTCGCCCAGGCTGGAGTGCAGTGGCGCGATCTCAGCTCACTGCAGCGTCCGCCTCCCGGGTTCAAGCAATTCTCCTGCCTCAGCCTCCTAAGTAGCTGGGATTACAGGCGCCCGACACCACGCCCAGCTAAATTTTGTATTTTCAGGAGTAATGGTGTTTCACCATATTTTCCAGGCTAGTCTCGAACTCCTGACCTCAGGTGATCTGTCCATCTTGGCCTCCCAAAGTGCTGGAATTACAGGTGTGAGCCACTGCTCCCTGCCCATAAACTCTTACATACGTTCCATGTTGCCTCACTACTTTAAGGGAAAACACATTAATAATAACAAACAAAAAGTAATAAACAAGAGAAAAGCATTGATAGCAACAAACATAGTTGCTTGCCTGTTTCTGTCAAAAAAATAATTTTGTACACATCAATGGATTCTTATGGCCTGTTTTATTCTTCGCATATTTTGGCAGAAGTTGGCTGTTGAGAATACATTTTACTTCATTTTTCAAAGTAATTCTTTTTTTAAAAAAAACTCTTTAACTTAGTTGCATAATTACATACGTGACTAGGATAATAGTCTATGACCATGATTGGTGAAAAGGTAGTGTATTTTAGTATTAACTACAACTTAAAAACATTATGGGTAAGATTAATTAAATGCTGTGAAATTTGCCATAATATTTACCATCAGCTGGAAATAAAGAGAACAGAGTTGTAAGTATTATGCAATCATTTTAATTCAGGCCCATTCCCATAAGTGATACAGACCTGGAATTGTAGTGTGAAGTCACAGGCAGGCTGGCACCCAGCCAATACACATCAGCACACCAGCCTAGGACTGTACCATGCCAGTGCTCCAGACTTTGACTTTCATCCCAACTCACTTCCAGGGACCTTTTCAAAGATATTCAGTAGACAGCCTGTATTTTCTGCATACGCTATACCCGGCCCTCAAGTTACAGACAGCCCAAACTAAATGGGATCTTGGAGGTTAGTTGACATTTTACCAATGAGACAACTAAGGTAAGATAACTGTTAAGATTAAGGGGAATGCTGAATTTTCATTTTTCTAAAACAAACAAACAAAAAAAGTTTCTTCTTCCAGCTAACATCTCAATCACGTACCCAAAATGACTTTTAAAAATTTCACATTCTTTCTACTAAGATGCCAGCGGCAGCAGCCTACTCCATACGTCAGGCAGTGTTTGTATATATTTCAGCGTATCCAAGCAAGGCCTTTTTAACTTTCCATCCTACAGACGAAGCTGTACTTTCCTGAATGGCAGCCAGGAAAAAACTTGGGGATTTGGCAGGAAGACTGTGGGAAGCCTGGTGTTCCACCAGGCTGAGATCTGGAGCGGAGCTTTCTACAAAGACAGAGGAGCGAAACACCTCCCTTTGTTTAGCTCTTCATAGGAGCACAAATGGAGCCCCCAGATTGTAATCAGGCCCTATTGTATAAACTTGGGGTTTTCAGGCCATACAGCATTTTTGGCAGCAAATCCCTTATTATTTTTCAGCTGGAAAACCAATTAGCATTCTTTTTATATCTGGGTGTTAATACTTGGGCCTTAGAGCAATTTTTTGGCCACTGGCCCACATGGCTGTAGTCTCTTGGGCAATGCCTGACAAATTGAGATAAAACTGTTACTTCATGTTTTCCTACAAAGACAAAACAAAAACTGTTTCCTGCTCTTATTAATTGGATGAAGTCAATTTCCACATTTAACAAATAAGAAGGTAAGCATAATCAGGGTGTCAACCCACGGCTCTTATCTCTCCCCAGGCTGGTTCCTCTGCAGGAATGTGAGGGAGCAAGACTTGTCAGGTTCTGACTAAGCTTTCCTTTTATTGGAAAAATAAAAAGTCCTCCTGGGCAACAGAGACCTCTGTCAGGTGAACAGGCTGCGACCACCACAAGGTCACCCTTTGGTCTCAGTGGCATTTTTGCTTCACAAGTCTGAGCGATGTGATTTACCTGAGGGAAAGAATTGTTAGGAGATTCCAGCCATGACAAGTGGATTAGTCATAACAGTCAAGAGGACACTGCCCAGTTTGAGAGGAATAAACAGAGCCAAACATTTCCCTATCTCGAAAGCATAGCAAAGTCAAGTTCACGCTCCGGGAATGTAGTTTACGATTAGAGAAAGCCATATCTGGGCTGCTGTCTCAGAATATCTAAGCGAGTAGAGAAGAGGAGGAAAGGAGTTTGGAATGGCTGTGGGAGGTGCCCATCCTGTTAAGTGTTCCCCTATGGTAAACAACCCCTGCCATGGCAACACAACTTCATGCTGCAAATCAGAGGAGCGCAGCCCTCCAGCGAGCAGACCACAACTTGGGAAAATCTCCAGGATGATGCAAAATATTTCAAAGGGAAGTGGTAAAACAAACAGAACGGAAACACAGCCATACAACTGCAGTTTGAAGACAAAAATTTGTTAGGTACAAAAAATAGTTTGGGTGCAATTACAGGAGCATTTTTGTGTTGCTGGTACTGATTGTACATCTCTTTGATAGAAATGGCCTGAGGGGTTGCTGCTCCCCTTCAAGACTTTCTTTGTAAGTAGTGGGCGGTGGCATCATTTAAAAAAAATCCACTTGAAAGACTTCTTTAAAGAATTTGTACAGAACATTTTCTTTGCAAGAAAATCTATTCTGAAGCAATATTATTTAACAACGGGGCTGTGTTTTGAGTCATATGAAAATTTATTATCCAATTTTTTCTTATTGTTATATTTGCTATCAAGAGCAGAAAATGATCATCTATAATAATTTAGAGGAGCGACTAAAAATGCCCAATCACGCACAGGAAAAGAAGCACTTGACTTGCATCTCTAGAGCCAGAAATCACCCGATTCTCTATGCAGAGGGTGGCCATACACCGCAGTTTGCCAGGAGAGTCTCAGTTGACTCTAGTTGTCCAGATTTAATTACCAACAGTGCCTCTTTCACTGACAGAAGTGTTCTGGTTTGGATAGTAAATAATTTGGTGACCCTATTGATTCACAGAGCCCAAGAATCTTCTGTCTGCTCCTACTCTCCCCGGGGACATCAGTCTAAGACTCTAAAAATCAGAACGTAAATGCAAAATGAAAAAGAGTCGGGTGGGGAATTGCTGCCACCTGGTAAAGAAGAAACCTCGACAGTTTGGCTTCACCTAAAGGAAGCATGGAAGGACTGTGAACAAAATTAACCCTGTGTGTATTGAGGAGAGGAGAGTACCCCCCTTCATAGAGACCCCCTGCGGCAGCCTTTAGGAATACCTGGGAGCTTCCCACTGGATTAGACACCAAAGTCTAAACAAGTGCTCCTCTGTCAAATCCTGGAAGGCGGACAGTCATTTCAAAAGCAGACATGCATGCTGCCTCTTTTTGTGCCTTGCAGCCCAGAAAGTATTGCTCAGATGTTCCAAATCAGAAGGTGTTCAGCCACTTCATACTGCCACCAGCCATGCTGCTGGGCTGCAGCTATTTGGATCAGAATGGAACTCTTTGATCTGTTTTATATCTAAGTTTAACTATGGCCTGGGTCCAAAAGGTAGACTAATTTTGGCAACTTCCCCTGTACACTTTTATCTAGAGATAAAAGGAACACTTGGAAGCATAAACAGAAGGTGCATTTCTGTAGGCCCAATAGCCAGCACATCAAAACACAAGACCATAGAAGCTGGTGCTGAATATTAGTTCTGATTTTAGAATGCAGCTCTACTCTGCTACCTCACTCACTGGCAGCCAGTAGGACCATTTCCTTCTATTGTAAACATATAAAGATAACATAGCATTACAGAACTCAGAAAGGAAAGACTCATTTCCAGCACAGTGACTTCCATTTTTACATGAATTTTTAAAATTGAAAACCATGATTTTTAAGTTATAAAGTAATTACACTGGCTTTGGGTCCAGGAGTCCAAGGCTCTCATACAAATATGTGGGTGACTGGAGACCTGAGCATCGATACTCTTCCAACCTCCCTGTCTCTCAAGCGGTCTGTGCTTTAATCAGGAATTTATGGCTTGGTAAGCCCAGTTAGGAGAGTGGAACATAAATCCCCAGGGGCAGCCAGCTTGGAGCTCCAGAGAAGAGTTATAGCTTGCCCATGACCTTTGCACTATGTGAATTTGTCAGTGAAGGACCAAATGAGAGAAATGCAAGGCCTGGCAGGGTTTAATGTAGCCCATTTTAACTTATAGTCAGAGCTACTGTCTATTCCAGAATAGGACAATGGACAGTGGAGTTCTAAAAATAGTAAGGTGATTTTTCTATAGGGACATGCAGCTGAATACACAGAGGCAGTTTAGCTGCATGCAAATCAGATAAGCTCTGAGTAGCAGTATTTGGTACCTTATTGCCAAACCAGTCCATTCTATAAGAAGTACAATCACCAAATTGGAAGGAGACATTTCTAGTCTTTCCTTGCTAGGATCTAAAGAGACCAGTGAGTTTCTTGAAGGGCTCTTGGGACACATAGGACCTGACTGACAGAATAATGTGACATGGCTTAAACACACTAACATGACCAACTACCCCCAAATAGTGATTTGCCAAATGGAGATGAACTAACCAGGCCAGTGCTGGGCAGTTAGTGGAAAGGAATACCACAGAGTTTGTGTATAAAAGGGCCCTAATATAGAACAGTGAAGTAACACTGGGACACATTTTTTGTAGGTCATCAAATGGCATCACAGAATTAATTTGCTGAAAAATACATAATATTAACTATAATTCCTTTGAATGAAATTACCTTGTTTTGTTGATGTAAAAATTGAGAAAGTAGTACCATCTATTTGGGTTTTCAGTGGGGATGTTTTCCCAGTTTCTGGGTAAAAGGATATGACTCACGGATGAGAAATATGAAATTCCCATTAAACTGTCCTGGTTGGCCAGGCACAATGGTTCATGCTTATAATCCCAGAACTTTGGGAGGCTGAGGCAGGCAGATTGCTTGTGCCCAGGAGTTTGAGACCAGACTGGGCAACATGACAAAACACTATTTCTACAAAAAACACAAAAAATTAGCCAGGCATGCCTGTAGTCCCAGCTTCTCGGGAAACTGAAGTGGGAGGTCCAGGCTTCAGTGAGCTGTGATCACTCCATACATTCCAGCCTGGGCAACAGAGCGAGACCCTGTCTTGAAAATAAAAATAAAGTGTCTTGGCCATCTCAGAAATCAGAATTCCACATAAAGTTTGGGAATTGCATTAGATCATATCTAAGACCTCTTTCAAATGCAATTTTTGCATAGCAAGGATCTGAACAGTCTTGAAAGGATTTCCTTTTATGTTCATTTCAAAAAACCCTCAGAAAAGAAAAAATTGACAGCACAGCCCAAGGTCAAGAGAATAAGTAAGTACAGAGAAGGCTGAACTCAAGTTAGCAACAGACATGTGATTCCCACAGCCTCCTCAAAGTAGTTCTCTATCATGTGAGGAAGAGCTTGAGCCACCAGACCTGACCTTTCCTGAATATTCCTCTTTAACAACAAAAAATTATTTTAGTTAAACAATAAGAACCACATGACTCTACTCTCACACAGTAAAAGAGTCAATCCATTAGATCGCTAGACTAATTCATCACGCATGACTAAAGAAAGTAAATTTCAGGTGCTTTTGCCATACACACATAGTTACAAAAGGTGGCAACTATGTAAGGGGAAGAATATGTTAATTTGCTTTGCTGTGTTAATTATTTCACTATGGATAGTTACATCAAAACAGCATATTGTACACGTTAAATCTACACAACTTTTTTTATTTTAATTTTTGAGACGGAGGCTCGCTCTGTTACCCAGGCTGGAGTGCAGTGGCGCTGTCTCGGCTCACTGCAAGCTCCGCCTCTGGGGTTCACGCCATTCTCCTGCCTCAGCCTCCCGAGTAGCTGGGACTGAAGGCACCTGCCACCACACCCGGCTAATTTTTTATTTCTTATTTTTTTGTATTTTTAATAGAGACGGGGTTTCACCATGTTAGCCAGGATGGTCTCCATCTTTCTGACCTCGTGATCTGCCCGCCTCGGCCTCCCAAAGTGCTGGGATTACAGGCATGAGCCACTGCACCCGGGCTCAATCTACACAACTTTTATTAAAAAGAAAGGAAAGGGTGCTTAAGAAAAAAATACCCAAAAGCAATGAGGTAAAAAATAAATGAATACAGTGTATCTATACATATATGGGACACATACATTACATATGATTCTGCTATGCTGTGACAACCTGTTTTTATTTGAGTCTTAGGGGCTGGTTACAGTGGCTCACACCTGTAAATCCCAGCACTTTTGGAGGCCAAGACGGGTGGATCGCCTGAGGTCAGGAGTTTGAGACCAGCCTGGCCAACATGGCAAAACCCCATCTCTACTAAAAATACAAAAATTAGCCGGGTGTGGTGGCAGACGCCTGTAATTCCAGCTACTTGGGAGGCTGAAACAGGAGAATCACTTGAACCCGGGAGGTGGAGTTTGCAGTGAGCCGAGATTGCACCACTACACTACAGCCTGGGTGACACAGCAAGACTCCATCTCAAAAAATAATAATAAAATAAAATATATTTGGGTCTCAAAAAACTTTTAAATTTAATATGTAAACATAGATCTAGTTCTTTCTTTATAATAATGGAATGTTCTTTAATATAGTTACATCGACTTTTGTTAATCATAGTTTGTTTCTACTTATTTGCTATTATAATACCTATTTAAAATAGCAAATATGCTCGTAAATATGTCTTAGTGCCTATAAGTATTTCTGCAGAACAGATTCCTAGAAGTATATCGCAAGATCAAAGAGTAGGCTTACTTTACATTTTGGTAAATATCATCTATTTTATACATGCTTTAGTATTTCCTCTGTAGGTGAATCTTTGTATCCTCTTTGTACCTTCTACTCAGTTATTTGTATTTTTTCATATGCAAGCACTCTATATATTATATTTTATATATGTTATAAATATTTCTCCTAGTCTGTAGCTTAACTTCATTTTTATGATTATCTCACAGAACTTTATTTTTTCATTTTTATGGGGGTCAAAATTATACTTATATGATTTATGAGTTTTGCGTATTGCTTAGGAAAGCTTTCTCTATCCCCAGAGTTATAAATTTAAAAAGTCTTTTCTTCAAATACTTTTATAATTTGTTTTTAACAGTTAATCTGAATATTTTTGCTTTATGTTATGAACTGAGTTTAATTTTTTCTTAGGTTAGCCAATTGTCACAATGCAATTTATTGAAAAGTCTTGAATAATTTTATTGATTTGAGATGCTACCTTTACTATGAACAGTATTCTTGTACATGTCTGGGTTTCTGTTCTACTTTTTTCTCTTAATGTATTTGTTCATCCCTATGCCTAAATACACTGTTTTTATACTACATTCTGGTTATTAGTAGGTCATATCACATTGTTATTCTATTAAAAGTTAATTTGCTAATCATTGGTATTCTTTTCATATATGAGAACCAGCGTATCAACATCTTTACAATGTTGAGTCTTCCCATTTTAAAATATGAAACAGAATTTCATTTATATAGGTTTTTAAATACCCTTTTATAAAAGTCCTGCACATTTTCTATTTCTTCCCAAGTATAAAATGTGTTATGTTGCTATTGTGAATGAGATTTCTTTTATCATTATGTTCTCTAAGTCATTATTGATAATGTTAATTTGGCCAGGCGTGGTGGCTCACACCTGTAATCCCAGCACTTTGGGAGGCCGAGACAGGTGGATCATGAGGTCAGGAGATCGAGACCATCCTGGCTAACATGGTGAAACCCTATCTCTACTAAAAATACAAAAAATTGGCTGGGCGTGGTGTCGGGCACTTGTAATCCCAGCTACTCGGGAGGCTGAGGCAGGAGAATGGCGTGAACCCAGGAGGTGGAGCTTGCAGTCAGCCATGATCACACCACTGCACTCCAGCCTAGGCAATGGAGCAAGACTCTGTCTCAAAAAAAAGTACTAAGTTGTGTATATTGACTTTTACATCTGGCCACCTTATTATGCTCTTAACATGACCTCTTAAACTCTAATCGTTTTTTATCCTGATTTTCATGATAGAAAAACCTTATATATTTCCCTAATTAATTGATGGGATTTTAGTAAAACTTCAATTCTGAAATGTTTTAAGATGGACCAACCAACACCCATCCTTTGAGAGCTTACATAAGGCTAAGAACATTGAAGGTACCACTGGGACCCCACGGGAAAACATGTAACTCTTGTTTGTGAAACACAGTCTTCCTATTTTGACATAGGGTTTGTGATATGGTTTGGATTTGTGTCCCCACCCAAATCTCATGTCAAGCTGTAATCTCTAGTGTAAGAGGAGGGGTTTGGCAGGAGGTGATTGGATCATGGGGGCAGATTCCCTCCTTGTTGTTATCATGCTAGTTAGTTCTCATGAGATCTGATTGTTTAAAAGTGTGTAGCACCTCCCCTTTCACTCTCTCCCTCCTGCTCTGGCCATGTAAGACATGCCTCCTTCCTCTTCATCTTTCACCATGATTGTGAGTTTCCTGAAGCCTCTCCAGCCATGTTTCCTGTACAGACTGTAGAACCATGAGCCAATTAAACCCCTTTTCTTTATAAATTACCCAGTCTCAGGCATTTCTTTATACCAGTGTGAGAACAGACTAATACAGATGCTTGTTTGGTTTGGATTTTTTTTGTATAGGTCAAGTACTATCTTACTTTTCTAGTAGGTTTTCCTATTCCTCTCACATACATACAAAAAAAGAATTCTCATATTTAATAGCCGTCTTCATTGCTTACCAAAAGACCACCAGTGAAGTACATAAATATATAAATTACACAAAAAAGTATTTTTAATACTGAAAAAATAAAGACAAGAGGAAATCATTTTCAGCTTCACTGTCACACAGCCCATTTCTATTCTTAGCCAGCCTGGGTCTTCCACAGAAGAGCACCCGCTAGGTCAGGGTTTGCTTCCCTGACATGGAAACACTGCAGCCAACTGCCTTTGAGTGGGTGTCCCATCAGCCTCCAAGGCCACATTTCCTGTGGGAGGGAATTCCTGATGCTGGAATCCTTGCTAACTTCCTTTTCCAAAACTGATTGCTTCATATAGGGACATGTTTTCTCTGCTTCTATAGGTCCGAAAGGACATAGAAACATTCCAATGAACAGCTCTGAGGTGATCTTCCTCCATTTTCTTTCTTACAAGCTAAGGGCTCATTTCCTTCAACTTAATTTGTATAGAGTAGAACCTTTTTGGTTACAGATACAGATACAATGAGAGATGTCTAGATGAGAAGATGTCATGTTCTATTTTGATCCATTCATAATGAATTGGTTTGGTCCCTTTGCCATTGCTAGCTGACTGTGGCTTCCTAGGGCACTGTTTGGAGAGAGGTCTGAAGCTGCCTCTGGCCATAGTCAACAAATAATGTCTGTCATGAGCATGGGAGGGAATGTAGCAGGATGCCCAAGAAGCATTAGCCATCTTTGATTATAATTGGCTTTTTGTTTCTGAGCTTATTTCTATAACCTTAGAAGTTTTGTTCATTTATAGATATTATACATATAATATACATATAAAAGAAAAAATACTGTGCTTTTTTTTCTTGGATCAACAAAGAAGTTTAAACAGTCCAGTGCTCTTAAATCTGGGAAGCCTTAATGCTAAGCATTGAGTATATAAATTTATATCCTAAATAAAACTTTGGCCAGAATACTATATTCTGTACTTTCAAAAATACTTTTGTAGTTACGATTTTTCCTACTATCATTAATAGTAGTAGTAATTGTAGCATTACTAGTAATTGTAACTCTCTTAAAACCCAACTTGGTATAATTTTGGCTGGCATATAACATCATCAGTAAAGTATTTTCACATAATACTCACAAAAATAGAGAACTTTATTTTTACAATTCACACATGCTAGGTGGCTAAGGGCTAAAGAAATACCATGAATGTTTCTGGTTTTTACCAAAGATCAGTTATATGTTTTGTATAATTGAGGGAGTAACACAACCCAAAAGTTAGAATTTGCATACTTTTTGAGAAATTAGTCAAGAAAATAGCAATGTGCTGCTCTAAGCATTAGAGGTTCCCAAGTCTGCGCTTCAGAATGGGATTATCTGGGAAACCTGGTAGAGAAGACAGTTTGTTTTTCTTTTTAAAAAGTGTTGAGCTGTGGTTTAGGGTATTAAATAATAAAAACTCATCTCTATTTTCCATATCCACATATTTATAATATTTTACTCTTTATGGGCAAAAATTTATTCTTTCAAACCACCCCCTACTATGCCTCAACATGTCTATTACATTAAAATTATCTCATATGTAGAGCAAGAAGAGGAATTCACCTGGAAAATTAGCTAACAGTCATCTTAACAATTGATTTCCACAAACCACCACATGACACATGTGAATATGCTCTTCACAGGAGTTTCCACTCAAATGTGGACTACAAAACAAACATTCATATTGATAACATGTCTTTGTGACTTTCCCAGTTTTTAAAAGCATGTCAAATAGCCATCTGAAAATACGTTTCCATGAAATGTAATGGTACTTCTTTCTAGTGGTAATATACCTATCATTGTTTTCCACTAAGTACTTGACATGGCCTTTGTAAATAAACTTTACTAAAAAATGAATTCTAGGTTGTCTGACTTGCTTACCATCGGCCAGTATCTTGTTGAGGTTCACACCTCTTAGGACCGAACACACGGACTCGAAAGATAGATTTCTGCTCAGAGTAACAAATGGATTCAGAAAAATCTGAGAAATATTTTTTCCATAATCTTGTCAAGTAGCATGTATAAAAGGAGGAAAGTCTTGTCATATTTCATCATGATGTTTATATGCTTAGTCATACCTATTGTCTTACAATGGCCCTGAAATGCAATAACACTGAATAATATTTTAAAATGTGTTGAGGTTCATATTGGGATACAATAGCAGGAATGTTCAATTTCACTATTTATTGGAGACAATGTCTTTGGGGTGACTAGGAAGCCAATGCTTCTTTTAACTTATGTTGCATTTGCTTACTAACACATCTAACAAAGCCATATTGTAGGACTTAAAGACTTTAAACTTAAATTCCATGATCCCATTTTACCACAATTTTTATTTTTAAAACTATCAAAAGTCTAAGATAATCAACAGCAGAAGATACGGTATGTGTAGGAAAACTAGGACAGTTCTACACTCATATATGAGACTCTGCAAGCCAGATAGAAATCGATCTAAGCAGCTCTTCTTTATCACAGCAGTGCAGCATGTACGTTAAGTTTACGCTGTCCTCCAGGCACCCCTAGACAGGAATCACAGCTCAAAAACTTTCTAGCTATGTGTTCCAGTACAAGTGACTTCAGACATTTCTGTTTTGAGTTTTCTCAGATATAAAATGGGGGTAATTATAGTCCTACCTCAAAAGGCGATATGAGAATTAAATGAATAAATAGACATGAAACAGCACTTAAAACAGCTTCAAGCACATTAACGAGTGTCATTTAAGAACTGGGAAGAAAATATGATGCCAGAGGGTTTGGTGAATAAGCAGTTGTTATTTAGGAGCATGAATTAACAATAAAACAATGAAATCTATTATCTAAAACTGGAAAAGATATAACCAGGTGTGTGGTGTTGACAGTTTTCAGCCTTTGGTTCACCTAGTCTTTGTATAGTAATGTCTTGCATGATGCATTAGACTCTGACACAGATTGCAATGCCTATTCATGTTTCACAGGACTGATTTCAGAGAATTTCCTAAGACACATAGGCTGAATGACAAATGGACAACTACCAAAGACGTTTTTAGACCACTGTAATCATTTATGAAATAATGTATAAAATGTATGGGCTTTACATTTTAAAATCATAATGGTATCTTTTTATACACAATGTATTCTCTGGGTTTTCTTTAGGTAATTAATTCAGTCTGGCAGAAAGCTAGGCACACATTCTCAGAAATTGTAAAGAATTGGGATGATTGTGTATGCCATCTGTATTAAATGGCATTATTTATGAAACATTAGCTATTAGCAAGTAACTTTATAATTATTGTATAAAGAATGAAGCTATGAGGCAAGATAATCCAGTTTAAAGGCCAAGTATTAACACTATTAGGTTCCTAACATGGCCACAGCATACAGTACAAAACGGTATCACAGAATTTTAAAAATAAAATAGATCTTAGAATCCGTATGGTCTAGCCTCCTAGATTTTGTACCTGAGTAATCTATGATTAATAGTAATGTGCATAAATCAACTAGGGTACCAGCTATGATGTTAAAGAATCCCCCCAAAAAATTAGGCCCCTAAACTGTCTGCTAGTTTTTCTTTTAAAGTAATCCTAAATACCTCCTTGTTGCAAAGTTCAACACTTTTCCCTCTAAATTGATATTGTTTGGTGATTAAATTGAGTAATATGTTTCATTTTACAGACAATAGGTAGAAAACATTAGGTCATCTTTGATTAACTGCTAAATATCTTTCTTGGCTTATTGCCTCTATATATTTTTCAAATGATTTATTATAGAGATTCTCAATGATTTGTGTCAGCCAGGCTGCAAAGTAAAAAGGGGCTCAGCTGCAAAATCAGGGAAACCATTAGTAACAACGTGAAAGCTTCTCTTATAATATAGCTTAACAGAATGAAAATGGAAGTGGAGTTTTTTTATTTAGTTTTGTTTTATTTTGCCTGTAACCTTTTCCTATCGCATCGCTGCTTAAAACCACATTGCCATCTTCCTTCCTTGAAAAGACCCAACGGATCATATCTTTGCTGTTGGCACTTCTTGGAGATGAGCATTTGAAGATACCAGCTAGAACTTCACCTCTGTCAATTCTAACCTAAGATTTAAATACCACATCACCACAGGCAAATGGTATACATTTATGGGAAAGAAAGCGCTTTATTTATCTTACTAATGTGATTTTATGGATGAGTAGAATGCATGCAGTGCTTGCAGTCATTCTGTCCAAGGATCTGTCATGTTCAGACAGAGATATCTCGTGCTTGACGGAGGATGGCATCCACGCTGCATTGGCATTTTATTAAATCCTGTAAATAGCACTATACTCTGCTTAAACACAATGGCATATCAAAAGCTGAGCGACTTTCTTTTCCAGGAGCTTCCATTGATGTTAAAAAAACTAAAAATGGCTCTAACCACTGACAGAGTGATACTAATGAGAAGAACTTGAGCATTGGCAAGAGTCAGAATATGTCAAGTTATTTCCGTAATCACATGAATATATCCCTCGCTGTACCCCTTTTTGTAGAAGATCAAGAACTGCCTTGAACTGTTGATCCAGTGTCTTTATTGTACTCCTTCAAATTAATTTTTTTTAAATTAATTTAAAATTGAATACTTTTAAAATTAAAATATTTAATTTAGTAAATAAAATTAAATATTAATAAAGAGGGTAACATTCTGTGCCCCTACCACCAAAACATTTAAATAAGCAACACACACACACACACATCCCTACACACACACACACAGAATTAGGTCCATAATTCCTCTTCTGAAACTCAGGGATAGCTATATTTCAAAATTCAAAATTTTTGATGAATTTTAAAATGTAACAGCCTGTAAACTATACATTATTTAATATTTCTGCCATGGCCTGGGTTAGCATCTGAAAATAAAACACATTAACATCTTTATGGCAGAAATATGAATTCACCCTCAAGAAAAATAAATAACAACACAAAGGCCTCATCAATTCAGAGTAGGTTTTGCCACCAAATGAGTTTTTCACAAACCTATGAAAAGTTGGTTTTCATAACTTGCTTGAATTTTGGAATTGTAAATGAGGGATGGTGGGCTTATATAACAAAATCCATTTGGAGCTTCATTCATTCTGCCTTTTTGAATGCAATTGAAACTGGATTTGGAACATTATTTGATCTTGTATACAAAAATGCAGTTACCGAATAAAGTATGCTTTGTGTCTATCATTTAAGTATTAGTCTATTTCTGAAATCTCTATTGCTATAAAAGTGTAAATTAATCTGTTTTTATCTTGTCAGTAGATTATATTAGCTGGAAGGATAAAACTTAGCAAAAAATTATTTAAAATAATTGTATATAAAAATCTTATTAAGTGAAACAGATTAAAAAGGTCTTTTTCATTGCAATTATTTAGAAATAAGACAAATGTATCAATTGACAGAGATTATATTTTGACCTGCTTATTGTTTCAGTGTTTAATACTTAAGAGAATTTTTACAGTGAATCTATGTTTTGCAGCGTAAGTTTTAATTCAGATACGTGAGAACCATAGATCAGGAAACAATGCCATTAAAAATATCATTTGTTACTCACAGTTCGCAAATGGAGGCACCTGCCAAGCCACAGGTGGCCAAACAAGGAAGTACCAGGGTCAGTCAGGAGGCAGAAGGAATGAGGAGGATATGTGGGCAAGAGCCTTTGGGGGTTTTGCAATAAAGAATAGGAGGGCAGGATAACCGGCTTAGCATTGGTTCATTTGAAAGACTTCAGTGAGGTCTGGGGTGTCCTTCATTGTCTGGTACCTGGCTTTGGGTGACAGGGTGGGTAGATTAGTGGCTCAGAGTATGAGAGACTACTAAAGGAGGTAGTGGGGACTGACTCTGGATTAGCTGGTTTGCATATGAAAGACACTCTCACTGGCAGGCTAGTCATTTGCTGTCTCTAGGAATTACCTAGCCCTGGGAAGGGCAGTCTCTCCAGTGTCAGTGAGATGTCAAAGTATCAAATACAGAAACTGGAAACAGTGGTTATTACCATCTACAAATGCACAAAGTCATACAAATTTAAACCAATCAAAGAAATTATTTCCTTATTAGCTTTATCGTAGTTCTTTCCTATTTTAATAGCAAATATATTCAATTGCTACTTTTTTGCCCATTTTTATTTAGTTTAAAAGCTGAATTGTGCTCAAGGTGTGATGATGTATGACATAGTGCACGCTCAAGGAATGTTAAACTTACCCCCTTCACCACACTTCCTCTCCCTTTTCCTTGTTTTCATTCATTTATTGAATATTTACTAAGAACCCACTATGTACAATGCTAGATACCAGGGATGCATCTCTTAGTCATCATGGAGTGAATAGCGACTACAGATGTTCAATAAATAACTACAAGCAGAATTATTTGGCACCCTAGGATGCCAGGAGAAAGTATTGTAAAGAGGTATCATGCCCTCATTAGTCTGAATTCAAGTGCATGTCATGTAAATAATTTTTAATATAATTTAAGACAGTTGAGTTATTTACTTTTATGCATTTTGCAAAATTTAAACTTGAAATCTTCTGATGTTGGCAAGAAGTAGAAATTTTCTTTTAAAAGTCTTATGTAACATATTAAAAATATATGGGGCCGGGTGCAGTGGCTCATGCTTGTAATCACAGCACTTTGGGAGGCCGAGGCAGGAGGATTGCTTGAGGCCAGGAGTTCAAGACCAGCCTGGGCAACATAGTGGGACCCTGCCTCTACAAAAAACTAAAAAATTAGCTAGGCACAGTGGCTTGTGCCTGTGGTCCCACCTACTCAGGAGGCTGAGGTGGGAGGATCACTGGAGCCTAGGAAGTTGAGGCTACAGTGAGCTGTGATTTTGTCACTGGACTCCAGCCTGGACAACAGTGAGACCCTGTTTGGAAAAACAAATATATATGTATATATGTATTACATGAAGAAATGTATCAATAAGACATAGAGTAGATATCTAAATTATGAGTTTTCATTATGCCCTTAAGACTGTTCCATTCTGTTGTATTATTTATTGGGAGTTGCCTCCTATATTTGTTAGGTACAAAGACGCTGGCAACTCAAGGCAATAAAAAACCATCAAGTATGAGAGTAGCTTGATGATTTTGTATTTTTCTGGGTAGTTTGTTCTTAAGTTTTCATTTAATAAAACATTAATTAATAAAACATTAATTAGTACTTTTGAACATATTTAACTTTTTCTGGGATGTGCTAATTTTAAAACCTCATACTGAGTTAGATAATACAAGGCTATGAGCAAAACAGTGTGAATCCTCTGCTGCTATGAATGCAAGGTTAACAAATAGCTGCTCTTCAGGCACAAAACAGGGACACCTTTTTGATTCTGTGGTTACCAAGGTCACAGCTATCTTCAGCCTTGTGCCTGCTGGCAAAGGAAGGCTTCCTGGTCCTTGACTTCAGCCTTCACATTCTTGCTAGTGTAATAGCACACGGCCAAGGATGAGACACAAATAACAGCACAGCCTCTAGGGCCTTCCCTCTCCATCCTTCCTCCCGCTTTGCCTTTCTTTTCTTCTTTAGTATAATGTGCTAATACCATGCTATCTCTGTTCTAGAGTGGCAAAAATAATTATTTTTATAAATATCATAATATCCTACATCTACAAGAGAGTTCAAAAGGGTATCTAACCTATCTTTTTATTTATGCTTATGATTAATAAAATTTTACACAGCTGTATGTGGTTCAAAAAAGTGATTTATGTGATAAGGTTTTTGCAATAATAAAAATGTTTGTTCTCTATGAATTATCAATTTATCATGAGAATCTCCATAAACTTGTCATAAATGCTTTCCAAATAAAACTGTCATAATACTATGAAACATTATCTCAGCTACATTAGGGACTATCTTTTAACCAATCTATTTTCATTCTTCTTTTGTAGATAACCTGTCTGTTTTCTTTTTTAATAACTCAGTTTCTGAATAGACACCCAAAGCACTTTGTTCTTTGATATCATGTTTTCTATTAAATGACTTGTTGCACATTAACAGTAAAATTTAATAAAAACAGGTTTTTTTTGTAATATTAGTGCCTTATCTGAGATATTTTGGCATATAATAATATATCTTACAAATATGACAACATTTTCAATAAAGATGCATTTCCCTGATTACCAGAGATTCCTGACAAAACTGAGATGGAAGGAGCAACCTCAGTGTTTTTAGTTTAATTTTTTAATGACCTTTCCGTTCAGTTTCTTACTAAAGGAGTTGTATATGTTAGATCCTTTGCACTATAGCCTAGATGCCTTCTCAGGACTCAGGAAAATGAAGGTCTGTTTTGTTGCTATCAATTTTAAATTCTGGCAACAACGTTGAACTCTAAATCAGGTTGGAATCTTTCTTAAGTTTTCTTGAGATTAAAGAGCTAATGCTGTTTAAAATCCACTTAAAGTATGCCTTTACTGATGTCTGGCTGTTAGGATCAGTTATGCTGGGGTTGAAGCTTCCAGGGAACCCCTCTGCCCACCTAACTGAACTCTACTCCCATCTTTACATTAAAAGCCATCTGTGTAGGCTCAGTGTTTCCTGAAGTGTGAGCTATGAACCACCTACCTCATAATCCACTGCAATATTTATTAGAGATGCTTGTTTGGTGGCTGTAATCAATAGTGTCCTGCCCCCAAAATTCACATCCACCTAGAACCTCAGAATGTATCCTTATTTGTAAATAGGGTCTTTGCACATATAATTAGTTAAGGTTATACTGAACTAGGACAGGCTCAAATTCAATGACTGATGTCTTTATAAGAAGAAGAAGAGAGGACACAGACACACAGGGAGGAAGGCAATGAAAAATAGAGGCAGACATTGGAGTGATGCAGTTACCAGCCAAAGAATGCCAAGGATTGCCACTAATCAACAGAAGCCAAAAGAGTGAAGGAAGCATTTTTTTCCTTAGAGCATTGAGAGGGAGCATGGTCCTGCCAACACCTTGATTTCAGACTTCCAGCTTCCAGAACTGTGAGAATAAATTTGTGTTGTTTTAAGCCACTTTGTTTGAGGTAGTCTGTTACAGCAGTCCTAGGAAGCTAACAGAGTGGACTTAAGCCTTCTAGCTGTTTCCAATGTTCCCCTAAGTGCTCACTACAGTGGGGCCATCATAAAAGCAAGGAAGCCATTCTTACAGGCCATTATCCTGGGATAGAGTCTTTCCCCATGCTATGGGCCTAATGCCCACAGAAGCTGTTCTTGCTACAGTTACTAACAATGGCAATGGGGTCAAGTCCAAGAGTCTCTTCTGAGTTCCTCTCTTACTTGAGCTTTCTGCTGTGCTTATCACTGTTGATAATTTCATCTAAACCCTTGGTTCTGATTCCACACTCACCATGCTCCCCTCATAGCCTTGATCCTCTGGCTCTGTCACTCTACCGTTGTTGCATCCTCCTTCTCTGCCTGTCCTTCAATGTGGGGATCTTCCATGTCCAGCAGAGGCCCTCTCCACGTCTCTTACAAACTCACCCAAGAAAATTTATTCCTGCACCTTAGGGGGTGGAGCCAAGATGGCCAAATAGGAACAGCTCTAGTCTACAGCTCCCAGTGTGAGCGACACAGAAGACGGGTGATTTCTGCATTTCCAACTGAGGTACCAGGTTCATCTCACACGGGAGTGCCGGACAGCAGATGCAGGACTGGGTGCAATGCACCGTGCGTGAGCTGAAGAAGGGCGACGCATCGCCTCACCCAGGAAGCGCAAGGGGTCAGGGAACTCCCTTTCCTAGTCAAAGAAAGGGGTGACAGACGGCACCTGGAAAATCGGGTCACTACAACCCTAATACTGTGCTTTTCCAACAGGCTTATCAAACGGCACACTAGGATATTATATCCCACACCTGGCTTGGAGGGTCCTATGCCCATGGAGCCTCGCTCATTGCTGGCACAGCAGTCTGAGATCAAACTGCAAGGTGGCAGCGAGGCTGGGGGAGAGGCGCCCGCCATTGCTCAGGCTTGAGTACATAAACAAAGCAGCCCGGAAGCTCGAACTGGGTGGAGCCCACCACAGCTCAAGGAGGCCTGACTGCCTCTGTAGACTCCACCTCTGGGGGCAGGGCACAGACAAATAAAAGACAGCAATAACCTCTGCAGACTTAAATGTCCCTGTCTGACAGCTTTGAAGAGAGTAGTGATTCTCCCAGCACACAGCTTGAGATCTGAGTATGGGCAGACTGCCTCCTCAAGTGGGTCCCTGACCCCCGAGTAGCCTAACTGGGAGGCGCCCCCAAGTAGGGGCGGACTGACACCTCACATGGCCGGGTACTCCTCTGAGACAAAACTTCCAGAGGAATGATCAGGCAGCAGCATTAGCAGTTCACCAATATCCGCTGTTCTGCAGCCACCGCTGCTGATACCCAGGCAAACAGGGTCTGGAGTGGACCGCCAGTAAACTCCAACAGACCTGCAGCTGAGGGTCATGACTGTTAGAAGGAAAACTAACAAACAAAAAGGACATCCACACCAAAACCCCATCTGTACATCACAATCATCAAAGACCAAAGGTAGATAAAACCACAAAGATGGGGAAAAAACAGAGCAGAAAAACCAGAAACTCTAAAAATCAGAGCGCCTCTCCTCCTCCAAAGGAACGCAGCTCCTCACCCGCAACAGAAAAAAGCTGGACGGAAAATGACTTTGACAAGCTGAGAGAGGAAGGCTACAGAAGATCAAACTACTCCAAGCTAAAGGAGGAAGTTCGAACCAATGGCAAAGAAGTTAAAAACTTTGAAAAAAAAACTAGACGAATGGATAACTAGAATAACCAATGCAGAGAAGTCCTTAAAGGACCTGATGGAGCTGAAAACCACGGCACAAGAACTACGCAACGAATGCACAAACCTCAGTAACCGATGCGATCAACTGGAAGAAACGGTATCAGCGATGGAAGGCAAAATGAATGAAATGAAGTGTGAAGAGAAGTTTAGAGAAAAAAGCATAAAAAGAAATGAACAAAGCCTCCAAGAAATATGGGACTATGTGAAAAGACCAAATCTACATCTAATTGGTGTACCTGAAAGTGATGGGGAGAATGGAACCAAGTTGGAAAACACTCTGCAGGATATTATCCAGGAGAACTTCCCCAATCTAGCAAAGCAGGCCAACATTCAAATTCAGGAAATACAGAGAATGCCACAAAGATACTCCTCAAGAAGAGCAACTCCAAGACACATAATTGTCAGATTCACCAAAGTTGAAATGAAGGAAAAAATGTTAAGGGCAGCCAGAGAGAAAGGTCAGGTTATCCACAAAGGGAAGCCTATCAGACTAAAAGCTGATCTCTCGGCAGAAACTCTACAAGTCAGAAGAGAGTGGGGGCCAATATTCAACATTCTTAAAGAAAAGAGTTTTCAACCCAGAATTTCATATCCAGCCAAACTAAGCTTCATAAGTGAAGGAGAAATAAAATACTTTACAGACAAGCAAATGCTGAGAGATTTTGTCACCACCAGGCCTGCCTTACAAGAGCTCCTGAAGGAAGCACTAAACATGGAAAGGAACAACCGGTACCAGCCACTGCAAAAACATGCCAAATTGTAAAGACCATCAAGGCTAGGAAGAAGCTGCATCAACTAACGAGCAAAATAACCAGCTAACATCATAATGACAGGATCAAATTCACACATAACAATATTAACCTTAAATGTAAATGGGCTAAATGCTCCAATTAAAAGGCACAGACTGGCAAATTGGATAAAGAGTCAAGACCCATCAGTGTGCTATATTCAGGAAACCCATCTCACGTGCAGAGACACACATAGGCTCAAAATAAAGGGATGGAGGAAGATCTACCAAGCAAATGGAAAACAAAAAAAGGGAGGGGTTGCAATCCTAGTCTCTGACAAAACAGACTTTAAACCAACAAAGATCAAAAGAGACAAAGAAGGCCATTACATAATGGTAAAGGGATCAATTCAACAAGAGGAACTAACTATCCAGATATATATGCACCCAATACAGGAGCACCCAGATTCATAAAGCAAGTCCTTAGAGACCTACAAAGTGACTTAGACTCCCACACAATAATAATGGGAGACTAACACCCCACTATCAACATTAGACAGATCAACGAGACAGAAAGTTAACAAGGATATCCAGGAACTGAACTCAGCTCTGCACCAAGCGGATCTAACACACATCTACAGAACTCTCCACCCCAAATCAACAGAATATACATTCTTTTCAGCACCATACCACACATATTCCAAAACTAACCACATAGATGGAAGTAAAGCACTCCTCAGCAAATGTAAAAGAACAGAAATTATAACAAACTGTCTCTCAGACCACAGTGCAATCAAACTAGAACTTGGGAGTAAGAAACTCACTCAAAATCGCTCAACTACATGGAAACTGAACAACCTGCTCCTGAATGACTACTGCGTACATAACGAAATGAAGGCAGAAATAAAGATGTGCTTTGAAACCAACGAGAACAAAGACACAACATACCAGAATCTCTGGGACTCATTCAAAGCAGTGTGTAGAGGGAAATTTATAGCACTAAATGCCCACAAGAGAGAGCAGGAAAGATCTAAAATTGACACCCTAACATCACAATTAAAAGAACTAGAGAAGCAAGAGCAAACACATTCAAAAGCCAGCAGAAGGCAAGAAATAACTAAGATCAGAGCAGAACTGAAGGAAATAGAGACACAAAAAAACCTTCAAAAAAAATCAATGAATCCAGGAGCTGGTTTTTTGAAAAGATCAACAAAATTGATAGACCACTAGCAAGACTAATAAAGAAGAAAAGAGAGAAGAATCAAATAGATGCAATAAAAAATGACAAAGGGGATATCACCACTGATCCCACAGAAATACAAACTACCATCAGAGAATACTATAAACACTTCTATGCAAATAAACTAGAAAATCTAGAAGAAATGGATAAATTCCTCGACACATACACTCTCCCAAGACTAAACCAGGAAGAAGTTGAATCTCTGAATAGACCAATAACAGGCTCTGAAATTGAGGCAATAATTAATAGCCTACCAACCAAAAAGAGTCCAGGACCAGATGGATTCACAGCCGAATTCTACCAGAGGTACAAGGAGGAGCTGGTACATTTCTTCTGAAACTATTCCAATCAATAGAAAAAGAGGGAATCCTCCCTAACTCACTTTATGAGGCCAGCATCATCCTGATACCAAAGCCGGGCAGAGACACAACAAAAAAAGAGAATTTTAGACCAATATCCTTGATGAACATTGATGCAAAAATCCTCAATAAAATATTGGCAAACCGAATCCAGCAGCACATCAAAAAGCTTATCCACCATGATCAAGTGGGCTTCATCCCTGGGATGCAAGGCTGGTTCAACATACGCAAATCAATAAACGTAATCCAGCATATAAACAGAACCAAGGACAAACACCACATGATTATCTCAATAGATGCAGAAAAGGCCTTTGACAAAATTCAAAGGGTTCTTCATGCTAAAAACTCTCAATAAATTAGGTATTGATGGGACATATCTCAAAATAATAAGAGCTATCTATGACAAATCCACAGCCAATATCATACTGAATGGGCAAAAACTGGAAGCATTCCCTTTGA
This sequence comes from Homo sapiens, assembly GCF_000001405.40. Classification (NCBI taxonomy): domain Eukaryota; kingdom Metazoa; phylum Chordata; class Mammalia; order Primates; family Hominidae; genus Homo; species Homo sapiens. The sequence goes on from NC_000007.14 coordinate 116,375,318, forward strand.
AAACTGGCACAAGACAGGGATACCCTCTCTCACCATTCCTATTCAACATAGTGTTGGAAGTTCTGGCCAGAGCAATCAGGCAGGAGAAGGGAATAAAGGGCATTCAATTAGGAAAAGAGGAAGTCAGATTGTCCCTGTTTGCAGATGACATGATTGTATATTTAGAAAACCCCATTTTCTCAGCCCAAAATCTCCTTAAGCTGATAAGCAACTTCAGCAAAGTCTCAGGATACAAAATCAATGTGCAAAAATCACAAGCATTCTTATATACCAATAACAGACAAAAAGAGAGCCAAATCATGAGTGAACTCCCATTCACAATTGCTTCAAAGAGAATAAAATACCTAGGAATCCAACTTACAAGTGTTGTGAAAGACCTCTTCAAGGAGAACTACAAACCACTGCTCAATGAAATAAAAGAGGATACAAACAAATGGAAGAACATTCCATGCTCATGGATAGGAAGAATCAGTATTGTGAAAATGGCCATACTGCCCAAGGTAATTTATAGATTCAATGCCATCCCCATCAAGCTACCAATGACTTTCTTCACAGAATTGGAAAAAACTACTTTAAAGTTCATATGGAACCAAAGAAGAGCCCACATTGCCAAGTCAATCCTAAGCCAAAAGAACAAAGCTGGAGGCATCACACTACCTGACTTCAAACTATACTACAAGGCTACAGTAACCAAAACAGCATGGTACTGGTACCAAAACAGAGATACAGACCAATGGAACAGAACAGAGCCCTCAAAAATAATGCCACGTATCTACAACTATCTGATCTTTGACAAACCTGACAAAAACAAGAAATGGGGAAAGGATTCCCTACTTAATAAATGGTGCTGGGAAAACTGGCTAGCCATATGGAGAAAGCTGAAACTGGATCCCTTCCTTACATCTTATACGAAAATTTATTCAAGATAGATTAAAGACTTACGTGTTAGACCTAAAACCATAAAAACCCTAGAAGAAAACCTAGGCAATACCATTCAGGACATAGGCATGGGCAAGGACTTCATGTCTAAAACACCAAAAGCAATGGCAACAAAACCCAAAATTGACAAATGGGATCTAATTAAACTAAAGAGCTTCTGCACAGCAAAAGAAACCACCATCAGAGTGAACAGGCAACCTAAAGAATGGGAGAAAATTTTTGCAACCTACTCATCTGACAAAGGGCTAATATCCAGAATCTACAATGAACTCAAACAAATTTACAAGAAAAAACAAACAACCCCATCAAAAAGTGGGTGAAGGATATGAACAGACACTTCTCAAAAGAAGACATTTATGCAGCCAAAAGACACATGAAAAAATGCTCATCATCACTGGCCATCAGAGAAATGCAAATCAAAACCACAATGAGATACCATCTCACACCAGTTAGAATGGCAATCATTAAAAAGTCAGGAAACAACAGGTGCTGGAGAGGATGTGGAGAAATAGGAACACTTTTACACTGTTGGTGGGACTGTAAACTAGTTCAACCAGTGTGGCGATTCCTCAGGGATCTAGAACTAGAAATACCATTTGACCCAGCCATCCCATTACTGGGTATATACCCAAAGGATTATAAAGCATGCTGCTATAAAGACACATGCACATGTATGTTTATTGCAGCACTATTCACAATAGCAAAGACTTGGAACCAACCCAAATGTCCAACAATGATAGACTGGATTAAGAAAATGTGGCACATATACACCATGAAATACTATGCAGCCATAAAAAACGATGAGTTCGTGTCCTTTGTAGGGACATGGATAAAGCTGGAAACCATCATTCTCAGCAAACTATCGCAAGGACAAAAAACCAAACACCGCATGTTCTCACTCATAGGTGGGAATTGAACAATGAGAACACATGGACACAGGAAGGGGAACATCACACACCAGGGCCTGTTGTGGGGTAGGGGGAGGGGGGAGGGATAGCATTAGGAGATATACCTAATGCTAAATGATGAGTTAATGGGTGCAGCACACCAACATGGCACATTTATACATATGTAACAAACCTGCACATTGTGCACATGTACCCTAAAACTTAAAGTATAATAATAATTAAAAAAAAGAAAATTTATTCCTGCACCTTAGCTTTGCATACCTCTCTATGTTGACAATTTCTGAATATTTATCTCAAGCCTAGATCTCTCTTTTGGGCTGCAAACTCATACATTAAACCACTGATGAATAACTCACTCTGTATGTAATATTGGCAAGTCAACTTTTACATATCCGACATTCAACTCATTACTTTCCTCTCCAAGGCTGCAGTTCTTCCTGTGTTCCCTGCTCAGTGAATGATACAACAGCCTGCCCATTGCTAAAGCCAAGAACCTAGACTCCTCTATCTTCCTCATATGGTTCCCTAGACTCCTCTATCTTACATACAGGGGCATCTCAATGGTGACAAGCTGGACAGGAGAACTGCTACCATTTGTAAAAACATGCAGGTGACATAGCATTTCCACTAAGCACCCTCCAGCTAGCAACTTCCATTTAATCCAAAACAAAGGACCTTAATCCCCCATAATAAGGGGGATTAAGGTTATCCCTGTATGTAAGTCCTCAGTAAACCCTACGTCTCATTCGCTGCTTCTAGGTCTTTTATTTGACCTCTCAGACATGGTGCCATTCCTACTGGAGTCAACAGGGGTTCAGCATGACAGTGGGTAAATTACAAAACACTCATGAATAAGAGCAGTGGCTAAGAGTTCCACATTATGGTGCTTCTCAAAGTAGCCAGGAAGTTGACATTCAAGAGAAAACTATTGTTTCAATACAATACAGATCTTTAATCAAAGGTATCCACAAAATTCCTCTGTCAACCACTGGAGAAAAGCATAATATCAGATTTAGGTAGAGATTAAGGAGATAAAAGCTTAAAGGTGAAGTATTCAGGAAGAAGAAAACAATTTTAATGTGGGGAAGGCATGTATATTAGTCAGGATTACCCAGAGAAAGGAAGGAAAGAGGGAAGGAGGGGAGGGGAAGGAAGGGGAGGGGAGGGGAAGTATAGATGGAGAGAGAGAGATTTATGATTTATATATAGATTTACTCTCATATAATTATGGAGGCTGAAAAGTTCACAGTCTGCCATCTGTAAACTGGAGAACAAAGAAAGCCAGAGGTATAATCCAGTCCAAGTTCAAAGGCCTGAGAACCAGAGGAGCCAATGGTGTAGATCTCAATCTGAGCACAGGATAAGATGAGATGGCATGTTTCAGCACAGCAGTGAGGCAAAAGAATAACAGGCGAATTTCTCCTTCCTCTGCCTTTTGTTCTGTTCAGGCCCTAAAAGGATGAGATTATACTCACCAACATTGGGGAGGACAATTTTCCTCACTCAGTCTACCAATTCAAATGCTCATCTCGTCCCGAAACACCCTTGCAGACACACTCAGAAACAGTGTTTTACCAGCTATCTGAGCATTCCTTAGCCCAGTCAAATTGACACATAAAATTAACCACACAGCATGAAAACAAAAGTGAAATCTCTCATTAGGGGAGAATGTGTGGAATCTTCTGCATCGGTGGGAAAATTATTGATCATAAATGGTTAGATCAACTTCCTCTTCTGAGCCTTCTGAAGAGAATGAGAGAATGGGAGAAAGTAGAAGAGTGATTGTATCTGGTGGTCTTCATCTTCCAAGTAATGTGTGCATATATATATATATATACACACACACACACATATGTATGTATACACACACATATATACACATATACTACATACTTATATATGAACACTAATTTTCTCATGAGTGTCTAGAAACCAGTCATGTGATTAAAGCTTGAATTACATAAACGCTTTAACTGAAAGATGAGGGAAGAAAAAAATTGTAGAAAAACAGAGGTTTCAACTTATGGAAAATCTTAATTAGCTACATGAACTAAAAAGTGAATAGGGAAAAACAGCATGAGTGGAATGGAACATATAGAAATTATATTATGTAACTTTTTACATTCAGAAAAAGTATTCTATTGCTGTTTATTGAACATGAAACTTCACAGTCCATGAATAAAAGTGTACCTTCTCTGGTGCAATATGAAAGAGCCATGAGGCCTCTCCTCCTGCCCATAATAATCAGTGGGTACATTTTCATTGATTATTTGTGCACTAAGAGCAATAAAGTAAGTTCTTAGATATAGCACTTCAAAACACACACACAAAAAACATATAAATTCTTTAACTAAACATGACAATAACTTTCTCATTTACACTCAATCACGTTATATTAGGTGAGCACTGTCATTCCATCAATCCATTAAAGGATGCAGCAATAATACCAATGCAGAATGGAATAGAGATACCAGGCAGGAGGCCTAGGAGAGCATCTGGGACAACTCTTTACATTATACAAACTGAATTTTTATCTTTTATTTTTTCTATTTTCTATCACAGCCAAATCTATACTGCATTTTATTCCCTTCAATGAGATAATAATAAAATCCGTAGGATTTTGAAACGTCACTAACATTTTTAAAATGTATCTGAAGCCCCAGAATCCTTATAAATAGGTACTTTGAGAGAGCCCAGGGACTACAAGCATTTTGGATTTATTTAATTGGCTTTCAGGTTTTCCTTCTAAATAAGTCAGCATTCAATTAGTCAATGGCAAGTTTTCACAATAGCTTAACTGGCAATATGAAGGCATCAACTTAAAACTCACTACAAGTTACAGCTATCTGCTTTTCCGAATTGTTATTTATCATCCTACCTACCATAGGTTCTTTTCAGTCACACTTCCTTCCACATTTACTAACTTAATGAGCTCAAGAAAATAAAAAAGAAATGAAGTTTCAAAAATCCCCTCTGACATTTCTTTGAGATTCTGAACTACATTTCATAGAGCCGGGACTCTGAGTAATCTAAAATAAGAGCTGGCAACAGAAGCTTGCCAGCTGTTGCACATTTACCAGCCCAGTTACATTTTTCCTCCCTCTGAGCTGCATAGTTATAAAGGGCCAGTATGAACCTTATTTGGATTAAAATTTGTACCATTCACACAACACAGTTTCTTTTAAAAGTTTGCATGTTCATTTTCTTTATTCAGTATTTATGCTGAAACTAGGTATCTATGATGTCCTGTCATATTTTTGTAACTATAAAATGCTACCATGTAACCCTGCAGAAAGAAAGTTTGACCTATTTGATTATCAGAATGAGACAAAATTTAATCTTTGTGGCAAAAAAAAAAATCCTATAAAGCAGCAGCTAATGGCACATTTGTACTTTTCCATTTTTATGTCAAGCTTCATTAAAAAAAAAATTGTAAAATATTGTAGGGGTGTAATGGGGTCCCTGAGACCATCCCTTGCTTGGAGATTCCCTAAAATGATCCATGGGAGCCAACATGTAGTTGTATAGTTGTACTCACAGCTAAGACTTATTAAGGGCAGTGTAGTGAGGATATACGGCACAGCATAAGGGAACCAGCACAGGCAAGTCCAGAGGAATCCACGTGCAGGCTCCCTACACTCACCCCTTCCCATGAGAGGTCACACTGAGCATCCTCTTCCACAGCAAACAAACGCAGCACCTGTGTGATGTTTCTGTCCAGAGGCCCACTAGAGACTCTGTACCTGTAACAGTCCTTTCTCACACTGCTATGAAGAAAATACCCAAGACTGGGTAATTTACAAAGGAAAGAGGTTTAATTAACTCACGGTTCCACATGGCTGGGAAGGCCTCAGGAAACTCAGAATCACGGTGGAAGGCAAGGGGAGGCAGACGTCTTCCTCACAAGGTGGCAAGGCAGAGAACTGCCCAGCGAAGTAGGGAAGAGCCCCTTATAAAATCAACAGGTCTCGTGAGAACTCACTCGATATCACAAGAGCAGCATGGGAGAAACTTCCCCCATGATTCAATGAAGTCCACCTGGTCTCTCCTTTGACACGTGGGGATTATGGGGATTACAATTGAAGATGAGCTTTAGGTGGGGACACAAAGCTTAACCATATCAGTACCCAAGGTTTTTATTCGGAGCTTGTCATGTAGACAGCCCCTGCTTACCATGTACCAAACTTCCAGACCACCAGAAGGAAAGCAGGTGTTTGGCATACACCACGCTGTGTTTCAGTCTAGGCACAGCAAACCAACTTTATCACTAAGAGAATTGGTGAGAACACCTCCAAATTCAAATTCTCAGACATCAGCCGCCTTGCAAGTAGGCTTTTTGGAGAATTGAAGTCTCAGACCTGCTAACTTAACGCCTTTCTTCCCAAAAGGACATTTGCAGTTTCTTCTAGTTTATAACACGCATCATTTAAATTTAGAGAGTAAGAAAAAATATTTCTAAATAGGTACTTTTTTCTAAATTGATATTTAAACAGTTAAAACATTTGATGATAATCTGGATGATATACATTTCACCTTCAAATGTAAAAAGAGGAAATTCTACCACAGAGGGACTGTTTTCTCATTGAAAAAGATCCTTCGAGAAAAGTATTTGCTTTTGCAGATAACTGAAGAAATTAGGCAGCATTTTCCAAATTTTCTTCTAGAATGCTGTAAGTTGAGGCCATTCCCCATCACTCACCATAAGACTGGGTAATTTATAAATGGAATGTCTCATTTTTAGAGGCATCCATAGACTCAAATTTAAAAACAGAGACTGAAAAACTCTACTTTTCTATTGTGTTTTGCACTTAATTGCTTTAAGCAATGCCAAAAATCAGCAAAAAGCTGCTATGATCATTGCCTTGACATTTTCTTATAGGTCACAAAATATTTAAACATTTTCTTTGTTATTCCAAAGGTGATTAGCAAGTGAAAGTATTTAGGTTTAATAATGTATTTAAAATAATGAGACATGTGAACCTGAATATATACAGTGATCTTGATGTCTCTGCCTATGTTATTAACATAGACCAGGAGATTTTTTGTTATAATTTAGGGCCTTATAAATGAAGAAGCAGCCACAGTGTAGAATCTCAAGAGTGTCAGAATAATGTACTAGTACTTTTCAAAGCGCTTGTCAACAAGTGACCTTAGATATTAATTTTACCCAGCATTATTTTCCCTATTTTGATAATTTGAAAACTAGATTTGTTATCCCAAGGGACAGCACATGGACCAGGGATCCAACCTTCATGGTATAAACAGACATAGGTCCCCGGAAATAGGATGCTACTATGTGAAAAATAAATGGGTAAACCATAAAAGAGTAAGCATTTACCAAAAAAAGACTGTGTTAAACCCAAGTAAGATTATTTTAAACTAGAAGAAACTAAGATAATGCAAATTAACAAGCTTGCCTGTCTCACTTTCTCCACTCCACACTCAGCCCACCACTAACCAGATGAACAGAGCTTGAGGGCAACATTATCTCAATTACAGAAGATTAGAAATTACAATTATTTTTGTATATCTGACTTTTAGCATGTGTATTTGACCCTATAGGACCATCATTAAATAAATGAATCTATACTATTATATGGCATTACCCATGTAAGAGGTGAATTGTAAACCCTTGCATTCTAGAGGCTGTACTCATGTGACTTTTGATTTAGGATCATTCTGCAAGGTTAAAAATATGTTTGGGGTATTTCTCCCAAGTGGCAGTTGTAGCTTCTTGGGAGGAGAAATGAACAACTCCAAGATCTTCTCCCAGGACCACTGATGTAGCCCATGTATTAAGTCAGCCCATCTAAAGCATAACATCCAAATTTAAGACAATCCATCCAGTTAGTTCTCTTGTTGTGGTAGCACTCAACATGTAATTTTATGTATACAAATAATTTCCTCAATGCTATGTAGCAGTGTCTAGCACATAGGAAAAGCTTAATAAATATTTAGGGAAAGAAAGAAGGAAATGAGAAAGAGAGACAGGGGAATGAGGAGGAGAGGAGAAGGTGATGCAGGAGGAGGAGAAAAGGAAAAAGAAGAGGAGAGAAGGTCAGCCAGAAGAACAAAACTTAAAAAAAAAAATCCATCCTGGCTTTCAACTTCATGTCCCCACCATGACCATCATCACAACTTTCACCTTACTCTTTTTATTCCACATATACTAGCCAATTTGAGTGACTTGCTCCAGTTAGGTGGTATCACTCTGAGTTCAATCGGGAGAAAGAAATCACATAGTAATTTGAGCAGGTAACATTTCACATGAATAATTATTAACTATAAGAGGAGATTAGAGTCTTCATTGACTAGTAAGAAGTAAAGAAAGCTCTAAAGAATATAGGAATCATAGGTATAAGGAGCTGTCTGTAGTAGGTAGAATGTGTTAGCTTCAAGTACCAGAAAACCCTACCAACATAAGTGAAACAAAGAGGGAGGTATATTTTTCACATCACAGTAAGGTGAGAGGTAAAAGCCAGCTGGCTGTGGTTCAGCAGCTCAATGATGCTCTCAAGTACTCAGGCTCTTTCTATCTTTCTGCTTTGACCTCTTTAGATTTTTATCTTTTTGTCTCCAAGAGGGTTATCACAGTCCCAGGCATCATTTCTGTGTTCAGGTAAGAAAGAAAGGGGAAAAGGTGACTTCAGTCATGTCTTTTAATCAGGAAAACAAAAGCTTCCTTAGAAAATCCTTATACTTCCTCCTATCTCAGTGGTCAGAATTGAGTCGACTGACCACTCTATCTGCAAGAGAGGCTGCGAATATGAGTATCTAACCTGCCAACCTCTACAGTGAAAGGAATAAAGGGGTAGGAATGGGTGTTAGGTTGACCAGTCAGTGTTTATCACACTATCTCCTACATACATCATACTAATTATTTTTTAGTGCCTTTGTCTAAATTGCTGCTTGAATATGGAAAGTCTTTTTCTGAATCTGCTCACTTATCTTTTTATTTTTTTATTTTTCTATTTACAAAAATAAAGCATGCTTACTATATGAAAATTCTACCCATCTTCAAGTCCCATCTCATGTCCTACTAAATCCATAAAAATTATAGGCAATTCTATTTCTCCTTATTCCCTTTTCTCTAAATTCTTGAATAAATTATAAAATTTAATACATAGGAATATATAGCATTGCATTATATATGAAATACCATATTATACCATATACCATATGCATATACCAATTGCATCTGTATAAATTAATTACATTACAATATGTGTGTTAGGTGCCCTTCTAATTACTTTACACATTTTAGGATATTAAACCTCACAACAACCCTAAGAGTGTGCCCTATCATTTTCTCCATTTTTACAGTCAAGAAAACCAAGGCACAGAGAGGTTAAGTAATTGCCTAAGGTCAGTTAATACGTGGCAGATCCGGAGTTTAACACCAGGCAGTTCAGCTCCAGAGTCTGTGCTTACAAACACTTTGCTTTTCTGCTTCTTTAAGGAGATGTTGCTTAACTTTTCTGAGCCTCTGTTTCTCTACAGCAGAAATAGGGTGATAATAACTTCATGTGGTTGTTTAAAGAATAAACCCGCCGGGTGCGGTGGCTCACGGCTGTAATCCTAGCACTTTGGGAGGCTGAAGTGGGTGGATCACGAGGTCAGGAGATTGAGACCATCCTGGCTAACACGGTGAAACCCTGTCTCTACTAAAAATACAAAAAATTAGCCAGGTGTGGTGGCACACATCTGTAGTCCCAGCTACTCGGGAGGCTGAGGCAGGAGAATAGCTTGAACCTGGGAGGCAGAGGTTGCATTGAGCTGAGATGGCGCCTCTGCACTCCAGCCTGGGTGACAGAGCAAGACTCGGTCTCAAAAACAAAACAAAACAAAACAAAAAAGAGAGAAAGAAAGAAAAAGAATAAATCCAATAACAGAAATAGTCCCTGGCACAAAGCAGGGACTCAGTATGAAATTTCCCTTCCACCTACTTTTTGGTGGCTCCCCTGCCCAGTGACAGCTCAGCAGACATTAAGAAACACCAGCCAGCCACTCCCACAGACTAATGTTTTCTAGGCTAAAAGGCCCCAGATCCTTTAAAAATTCTTCACAAGAGGAGTCAAAGGAAAGCTTTCTTAAAGATTAACAGACATTTCAGTTTCATCTACTTCTTAAATGTGTTAAAGGATAAGAATTTGATAAATTAACCTACGTTCTCTGCTCCTTCACATCACTACCCTACTTCACCAACATCAGTGCAATCCTGACTCTCCCCCAACTCCCCACCCCTTAATGTACACTATACCTTGTGATCATCACTGTATTAAATGGGTGACACACGTTGCATTGAGGTGTGACTAACACAACTACATGCAGAATCTGAGGCAAGTTCTTGGCTTTAGCTCCAAATACGTTTTTGAAACTCATAGCAGGGGTCATAGTTGTGAAAGTCAAAGATTCTAATTCACAAGATCCATCAAAATGTCAGCTTTAAAAATGTAAATGTTAATCCTATTATTTGCCAAATAGAGAAACAGGTGACAGACTCCAAAGGCCTTGCTTTGAAAACCAAAATTGTCTCTCCCAGCCACAGTGAATTAAAATTGAATCTCTGAGAATTAGCACCACCCATTTCACCAATAAGAAAAGCCATGTGGCCAAGCACGGTGGCTCACGCCTGTAATCCCAGCACTTTGGGAGGCCGAGGCAGGCGGATCATGAGGTCAAGAGATTGAGACCATCCTAGCCAACACGGTGAAACCTCCTCTCTACTAAAAACACAAAAATTAGCCGGGCATGGTGGTGCACACCTGTAGTCCCAGCTACTCAGGGGGCTGAAGCAAGAGAATCTTTTGAACCCAGGAAAAGGAGGTTGCAGTGAGCCGAGATTGCGCCACTGCACTCCAGCCTGGCAGCAGAGTGAGACTCCGTCTCAAAGAAATAAAAAGAGAGAAAAGAAAAGCCATGTATGGCTTAAGGGAGATTACAGTTGTTCATTCTCCAGCATCTTGATCTTGACAAAGCTTTTTAAAAATGTAAGTAGCAGTGTTCTAATTCTCATGAGATTTTCCCTTGGGGTCAATTTCCCATAACATCCTAAATAAAGATTTGGGGTCAATTCTTTCATAGAAACATAAAGTAGGAGACCATGCTTAGACTCATGGGGACAGAATCACAGACACTTGACTCTAGAAATAGCCCTTATCTCATTTATCAATTCCATCCTTGAAGTGTCTGTTTCAGTGTTTCTGTTGACAAGAGACTCACTGCTCCCATATCAGCCAATCTCTTCCAGTTGTAGACAGCAATTATGAATAAATGACTCAAAATTATTTTTTAAAAAGATCTTGGTCTTTCTAATAGAAAAGACAATCTTTTTAATTCAAATAATTTTAAATTAACTAGCGTTTTGTAATTAATCATAATTATGGTGAAAAAAATAGAGCATAGAAACTCATTTTCTTATCTATTTTCACAGAAAAAAAATAGAGTTAAATGTCCAGCCATTTGGGCCACCACTCCCATCTCCATTTCCCATGTAGCATCATCCTCAGACCTTCTGTTGGTCAGTGCCATGCCCACGGCAGGCTAGAAATATAATAGACCGTTAGTAAAATAATGGGCTAATTAAGTACTTTCCCAAGAATCAGACCAATGGAAGATGTGTCTATGCAGTGGAGGTATGGACCAACATTTCTACATTCCGTGATGAAAGCACCCACACTGAATGAATGTAGAATGAATGCAACGTGGGCTGCTGAAAGCTACTTCCGCATGCCAGCTAACCTAACTTGTTAAAGGATGGTGCATTGTTTTATTTTGTTCATTCCATGGATATCTATTGCATGTCCACTGTGTCATGCTGTCTCACTCTCTGAGAGGCTTTAAAGGTGTCCAAGGCAATCCCAGTGCTCTTACTCTTTAGATGACAGTAGTAACCTAAGTTGTTAAAGGATGGTCCAAAGTGAGAGAGGCAAATGCACAACTGCCACATTGTCTTGAAAATCACTCCAGCAGATAATACTTGTTGAGCATCTTTTGTGCTTAAGGGAATAGGTTTAACATCTTATGGATGTAAGCACCTACAAAGTACTTGGGAAGACAAAACATAAACGCAGAAAAAGTTTTATGAAGACAAAACTGTGTCATCAACCGAACACAAGACAACATGATGAAAGGGGCCACAGCGCAGTGTATTATTTTGTTCATTCCAGGCATATCTATTGCATGTCCACTGTGTCATGCTGTCTCACTCTCTGAGGGGCTTTAAAGGTGTCCAAGGCAATCCCAGTGCTCTTACTCTTCAGGTGACAGTGGTGTGGTACCTGTCATCAGAATTCAGTGCTGACAAGGGTACAACTGATTGGCTGGCATTATTACATCAACAGAACTAGATATGCCCTTTATGGTCAAATTAAGAGCATAGCCATCATTTATCAAGTGCCAAGAATTCAAAATTTATTATATTAATTTCATATAACAACTCTGGAATGTGGGTATTATTATTTCTATTTAATAAATGCAAAAATAGAGATGCAAGAAGATAAATGGCTTCCCCAAGTCTAGGAAGGAGAGCTGAATTTGAAAGCAGACTATCTGATTTGTAACCTTGTCAACTATGTAACCGGGAGCAAGTGGCTTACTTTCTCCACATCTCAATTTCTTCTGATGTTAAAGGCAGATAAAAGAACATATCCCACTGGATTGGTGTCTGGATAAAATGAGATACCAGTCGTGTTTTTTTGTTTTGTTTTGTTTTGTTTTGTTTTTGTTTTTTTTTAATTGAGATGGAGCCTAGCTCTGTTACCCAGGCTGGAGTGCAGTGGCGTGATCTTGGCTCACTGCAAACTCCACCTCCCGAGTTCAAGCAATTCTCTTGCCTCAGATTCCTGTATAGCTGGGATTACAGGTGCCTGCCACCATGCCCAGCTAATTTTTATATTTTTAGTAGAGATGGGGTTTCACTGTGTTGGCCAGGCTGGTCTCGAACTCCTGACCTCGTGATCCGCCCACCTCGGCCTCCCAAATAGACATGAAATTTTAAAGTACCATCCAAATATAAGCATTGCTGTGTTGTAACTTTTACATAACTATACCATTAGATTTTTTTTTCTTGGCTCCTGGCTGTGGAAACTATTAGATTTTTTAAGCCTGTATACAGTGTGAACTATTTCAAATAGCAATATTAAAAATATCTCAGTAGGCCTGGCATGGTGGCTCACACCTGTAATCCCAGCACTTTGGGAGGCTGAGGCGGGCGGATCAGAGGTCAGGAGTTTGAGACAACCTGGTCAACATGGTGAAATCCCGTCTCTACTAAAAAGACAAAAATTAGCCAGGCGTGGTGGCAGGTGCCTGTAATACCAGCTACTTGGGAGGCTGAGGCAGGAGAATCTCTTGAAATCAGAAGGTGGAGGTTGCAGTGAGCCAGGAGCACTCCACTGCACTCACTCCAGCCTGGGCAACAAGAGCAAAAGTCTGTCTCAAAAATAAATAAATACATAAAAATACTAAAAAAAGAAAAAATCTCAGTAGCAACACAACATTATCCTATTTAAATTTTAATATGTACTTGAACTAATGCTTTAGCCGAATTTACTTCTATAGCTCAAAAAAATAAAAATAGTGCCAGCTTATCATTATCTAATAGGCTACAAAATAAAAAGAATTGACATGCTCCTGGAAAAAAAATAAGCAAACACAATTGAAAATTTTTTGTGTCTCTCCTTGTTCTATCTCAAAGACATAGCGGAGCTAGGATAGATCCAAAAAAGGATACTGAACTTCAGTAAACAGAAATCGAGTAGTATTATATGCAAAACACAGTGCTAGGCATTAAGGAAACAGATAAGTAAGGCAGAATCCCTGACCTCAAGTAGTTCATCACTAAAAACAGGCGGCTTCCACTGGAAGAATAAATACTCTGCTGATATGTCTCACTATATGGTAAGAATAAGAAAATCAGGCCAGGTACAATGAATCCTGCCTGTAACCCCAGCACTTTGGGAGGCCAAGGCAGGAGGATCACTTGAGGCCAGGATTTCAAGACCAGCCCTGGCAACATAGCCAGACAGCTATCTCTACAAGAATTAAAATTTAAATTTAAAAATTAGTGAGGTGTGGCAGCATGCAAGTCTGTAGTTCCAGCAACACAGGAGGCTGAGGCAGAAGGACTGCTTGAGCCCAGGAGTTTGAGGCTGCAGTGAGCCATGATCATATCACTGTACTCTAGCCTGGACAACAAAAAGGAAAATCAGAAAATCAGTTTTATAGCTTTTACCCTACAAGATGATTATATTATTAGTCTGCTTTCTGTAATGAATCCAAAGTGATAGAATTTATTTTTATGTTGGTTGTACATTTTGAAAAATAAACAATATAAGAAGATTTTAGGCAACTCATAAATAATAAGTGAGAACTGGGCTACTAACAGAGACTAAAACATGTTAGCGTATATCATTTAGCTTTTGAGATTGATGCCACGGAGTTTATTCAGGCCCTTCTATGAGTCCCAGTTCTATTGTCAGTACAAAACATGGTCTTGGCTGAACCAAAAAGAGAATGGTAATTCTTTTGATTATATATTAAATAATCTTCAATGATGACATATATTTAGAAGTTTAGGTGGGATATTTCTCACCATTCCAAAATCAAAGAAAAGTAGGAAATTTAAAAAAAACCCTATCTATATTAAATAGTTCTCCACAACTATACCACAAAATAATAAGGCAGTTGTTTAAGACATTAAGTGGTCAGTAGTGGAATTGCCTAGTATTACACCTGGAGGTGCAGGTAGGTTGAACAAGCTGGGAGTAGTGGATAAGGGTTAATAATGGTATATTCTACCAAACATGAACATGAACTTGTTAGAAAGACAGTATTTGCATCATCAGTTTGGACTTTTAAGTTGCCATTTTTTTAAGATGTGTATTTTGGCCAGTTTTTGAACAGGGGCACTGCCTATGGCCAACAGGCTAAGTGCTATGTAACTCCATGGGGGCACCATTTACTCACATAGACTGCAATATAATTGTCACTCTTTGGAGTTGCATAACATAGTAGTCCTATGCTATGTGTAAGGGAGTGGGGAAGGGGTGAGGTGGGAGAGATTATTAGGAAGGCTAGGATGGCTTGTGAGGGGAGGGAGGCCAATAGACACACATAACCCAGCATTCCTGATCTGAGCACATAATCTGGAACTAAACCAGGTGTCTACAGCCCCAATAGGGATTTGGAAATATATGTAGGCACCTGGTAGAGTTTTTAAACATATACTCCCAGATGTCATACTTACCACTTTGTGTCATTTTGCAAAGCATTGTGTTAGCATCATTTAAAAAATCATGTAAAACGAAAAGATTAGATCTTAACATTTGAATTTCTTGGGCTCAAATGAATCTGAAAATACATGCCGCTGAAGCGTGACACAGCTATAGAACATATTCAGAATGTTCTCCAAATGCATACTGCAAATTCTGCTTTACATGCTGTTCTACTTATAATTTGCAACTAATTTTAAGAAAGTCTTTGGCTTTAAAGAAATCTGTCATGCTGCTATAACACCACATGATTATATATGTGTATTTCTGAAAATTCTGAGAGTTAAATCAAATATATCTTTCTTAAACAAGTAAAACACTGTCATTTCCATCATTGACAAGGACATATGTCTGTTTAGTTTACCTGCAAAATACACACACATACATACACACACACACATCTTAAATTCTATAAAGTAATATGCTATTCTATGGTGTAAATTCAAGTGAAGAATGCTCAACCAATGACAGAAGTAAATAATATCCCATATCTATTATACATCTCTATGGTTTTTCAATAACAGAAAAGTGTTCTTTTGCAACTAGGCACTATTCCCACACATAGTCAATATGAATGGCTGATGGTATATTAATTTACAAGGCATGACATTCATCAATCAAAAAAAGGTTAGTACTTAGTGACTGAAACTAAGAATATATATATTTACATTAATAATTACAGCAAAAATTATTTAATTATAAATAACTGTAGGTATTACTTTTAGACATTACTTCCACTGTGCTTGAGACTTTATTTGTGTTTTGACATTGTAAAAATGATGCCATAGTAGCTCAGAAAGATTAAATAAAATTTCAAAATACTGTACCTGGGACTGAAATCCAGATTACTTAAATACAAATCTTTTAAATCTGCACTGTACTGTCTCTGGAAAGTGTTAAAAATATTTCATAGCCAGGCACAGTGGTTCATGCGTGTAATCCTAACACTTGGGAAGGCCGAGATGGGCAGATTGCTTGAGCCCAGGAGTTTGAGGTAGACCTAGGCAACATGGTGAAACCCTTCCCTACAAAAGTACAAAAATTAAGCCAGTCATGGTGGCATGCACCGTGGCTCCAGCTACTCAGGAGGCTGAGGTGGGAGGATCACTTAAGCCCAGGAGGTCAAGACTGTAGTGAGCCATGATCACAACACTGCAGTCCAGCCCGGGCAACAGAATAAGACCCACTCTCTCTCTCTAAAAAAAAAAAAAAAAAAAAAAAAAAAACTTAAAAAATAGTGATTATCACCAGTTAGAATGGCGATTATTAAAAAGTCAGGAAACAACAGATGCTGGTGAGGATGTGGAGAAATAGGAATGCTTTTACACTGTTGGTGGAAGTGTAAATTAGTTCAACCATTGTGGAAGACAGTGTGGCAATTCCTCAAGGATCTAGAACCAGAAATACCATTTGACCCAGCAATCCCATTACTGGGTATATACCCAAAGGATTATAAATCATTCTACTATAAAGACACATGCACTCGTATGTTTATCGCAGCACTATTCACAATAGCAAAGTCTTGGAACCAACCCAAATGCTCATCAATTATAGACTAAATAAAGAAAATGTGACACATATATACCATGGAATACTATGCAGTCATAACAAAGAATGAGTTCATGTCCTTTGCAGGGGCATAGATGAAGCTGTAAGCCATCATTCTCAGCAAACTAACACAGGAGGAGAAAACCAAATGCCACATGTTCTCACTCATAAGTGGCAGCTGAACAGTGAGTACACATGGACACAAGGAGGGGAACATCACACACCAGGGCCTGTCGGGGGTGGCGGGCAAGGGGAGGGAGAGCATTAGGATAAATACCTAATGTATGCGGGGCTTAAAACCTAGATGACAGGTTGATAGGTGCAGCAAACCACCATGGCACATGTATACCTATGAAACAAACCTGCAGGTTCTACGCATGTATCCTAGAACTTAAAGTAAAATAAAATAAAATAAAATAAAAAAGAAAGAAAGAGAATGACTAATGGCATAAAATCTTACAAGGGGAAAAAAGGAAAGAATTCAGATGACAAGTGGAAGGATTGACTTTGAATGGGAAGAAGCTTATACCAAATATTTATTGCTGTTTAATAAACCATCCCGATATTTAGTGACTTAAAAAACAACAACAACAAAAGAGTGAGTGCAAGAAATAAATAAAACTTCTTTGCTTGGGTTTTGCTTTGGTTTGGTTTGATTTCCTACATTTGTCTAGAAAATACTTCTCAGTTCCATTTCACCTGAATTTTGGAGCCCATCTTAGCCTTTATTATTTTAAATAGAATTTTGTGATAGGGAGCATTTTAGATGTAACTTCTCAAGATGACATGTTCAATGTAAATGCTGTTGAATGTTGAAGCTATGCTACTATCAACCTCTGGGCAAGGCAGACACACTCAAATCATCTTTTAGCTTCCCTTCAATTTTTCTTTTAGCTTTACCACTGAGTTAATATTCCTTTCAAAGAAAGTTGTTTAAATGATAGGGATCTTTTCATTCTACTGTAGGATCATAGGCCAGTGGAAACAACAACCAAAGTCAGAGGCTATTTTTAATGTGCTTGTTATCTACAAGCCAGTTCCCTCCTCAGATCCCTGACACAACATCACACCACACACACACACACACACACACACACACACTCACTTGGCTTCTGTCATCTGAAAAATGGGATAATGCTTTTTAATGTTTAACATAAAGTTTTAATGTTTAACATAGTTAAAGTAAATTTTAAAACAACTGAGAAAATACATATCATAATTATACCAAGTTTGGGGTGAAGGAAAGACAAGCTGATGATATGTCTTTCATTGTATCAACAATGAAGTATTTATTCAACAAATATTCAAGGAGCATATTTTGGATGTTAGGCTCCTGGAAGAAAACAAGAATGAGATGGAAAGAGTGAGGGCAATCTAAAGGTGAAATGGAAGGAGACTCTACAGCATGGCCTTCACATATGGAAGATGCCAAATACATAAGTTACTCCAAAATAAAAGAATAATAATAAATCAAACACAGTCTAAGATACATTACAACCCTAGTTTTAATTTAAAATTAAGAGTATATGCATTACTCTTTTTTTGGTAATTGATGACATGATGTAATTTTATATTCACTTTGCAAAGCAACAAGATCTAAAGCCTTGGCAAGATAAACATTCTGACTAAAAAATAGTGTGTTTTAGATTCTTTTGGTTGCTGGGATATAAGAGGCTGAGGAAAGAGTGTTCCCAACACAATTTGTGACCGCCCTTTCTTTCCTCTTCTCCCTAACAAGGTTAGTTAGATTCGTGCAGATCCTGTAGATTAAAAAGCGCCCTTATCACTGCCTGGTGATCACTGTTCCAGCCCTGGACAATGAAGGTTCATCCAAAAGCACCACTTCCTTTTTGCTATTGACAGGAAACTCTGCCTGTGACAAGCTGCACAAGCCTCACTCAGTGCCTGGCGGGGTTGCAGCTGGAGACGTGGGAGGAAAAACAATTTCTAATCCTGGTGTTTGTGCAATAGAGTATCAGGTGGACGGTGAGATGGGAAAGCTAATGGGGATTTTTTTTTAACATTCATTATTTAAATACATCATTGTCCCAGCCTGGATAGAGAACTGTGATACTCACAAAAGAACGTACAAGAAAAAATAAAATATTTTTCAGGTTAAGACAACTTGGAACTTAGAAATTTAGCATGTAAAGAAGTGTGGTAAGGTTCCATAAGAGAATGATAACTGTGAAAATAGACTAGCTCTTCTAAAGGATCTGCTAGGGGTATGTTTCAAACTCTCTTGAATTCTTATGTTCAATTATAAAATGTGCCAATTCACTCATAAAAGTGTACCAGACCCGGCACGGTGGATTGCGGGCGGGGTGCGGTGGCTCACACCTGTAATCCCAACACTTTGGGAGGCCGTGGCGGGTGGATCACGAGGTCAGGAGTTCGAGACTAGCCTGGCCAACATAGTGAAATCCCATCTCTACTAAACGTACAAAAAAAAAAAAATTAGCCAGGCCTGGTGGCAGGCACCTGTAATCCCGCATACTCAGTAGGCTGAGGCAGGAGAATCACTTGAACCCAGGAGGCGGAGGTTGCAGTGAGCCAAGATAGCATCACTGCACTCCAGCCCAGGCGACAGTGCGAGACTCCATCTCAAAAAAAAAAAAAAAAAATTGTACCAAACTCTCTTTAAAATATTACCAGAGAAACAGTTAAAATGAAAAGCACTAGCAATTGAAGCACCCTGAATATCTTATTTTCATGTATCATTTTTCATCTATATTGCTTGAAAGAAATACATTAATCGTGGGAATTTTGTTTAGATACTCTGATTGACTGTATCAGAGGAAGACGACGGAATGCACCCTTGATGTGCGAAAATGAGGAACTGATGAGACAACACAGATGGAAATATTCATCAGGTAGTTGGAGATTTGGACCTACAGTTCTAGAGAAAGGTGAGCTACTAAGACAGGAAAAAAAAATGCCAAAGGAGAGAAAATATAAGAAGTTCAATAATGAAGTCTCAAAAAAAAGTTTACTTTTGGAGTAAGAGAAAAAAAAAACAAGTAATTTTACTAAATGCATACCTAGATTTTTAAAAATCAAAGGAATATAATACACCTAGAAGTAGAGAGGTGGATAGGGTCTCAGATGATGCAAAGGTCAAAAAGAAAAGGAACTCTGAGCAGGAAATCCAAATTAGCAAGTTGGCAAAGTTTGACATTTGGAGAAAATAATTTCAGTAGACTAATGAAAGCAGAAACCAGATTGCTAGAAGAACTGGATTGCAAATGATAAGCAATAAGGCAATGGAGGAAATATGAGTAGATAATACTTTCAAAAATGTAACGGGGGCAGGAAGAGACAGAAGTTTGATCAAGGAGAAAGCTGGAAGACAGCTTCTTGCTCCTGAAAAGGGAAAGTTTAAACAGTGGAAATTAGACATTTGCACAGAGAAGGGGAAGGACAAGGATAAGACAAAAAATCTGCTCTTTGTTCTTAAGGAAACAAACAAACAAAAAATCCGTAAGAAAAAAATAAAATGTAAAAGAACTGAAAATTAAGATTAGCACTGCTATTTAGCACACTCATGTAGGTTAGCCACACCAGTCAGCATTTAGGAATTCCCTGCTGTCTGAAACAGCCCTGGTTTACACCCATGATTCAGGCAGTGGGCCTGTTTGTTTGCTTTTCCTTTGGTGAGAGAGTCTGCGCATCCTGTGGCAAGCCAAAGGTATCCCTGCCCTCTCCTGCCCTCTCTTCCCTCCTTGCTCCCCTTCCTCCCCCTCCTTTTTTTTCCCTCAAGCTGAGTTTGTCTTGGAAATTCTAACCTAGCAAATTAATTTTATTAAAATAAGCTAGGCAAATATCTCTGGCAATCAAGGAGGGCTTCGTTCTACTAGAAGAGCAGCCAATTTTTTTTTTTTTTTTTTAAAGAGAGAAAAGGATAGTTACAGAGGAAATACAGATAAAACTTGATTATTGAGAGCCTGCCTGGTGGTCCAGTTTCCTGGGTCAACAGTTTGGCCCAAACATTCAAGGCTGGCTGAAGTATAAAAAGATACAGAGGCAATTTGCTCATTCACTGGAGAGAATGCTTCCTAGCTTTAGACCAAAGCTCTAAGTGATATTAACAACCCCTTACTCAAAAACAGAATACAAATATGGTCTGACAAATGTGGACAATAAGGCACTTTATCAGAAATAACACATACACATACTTGGGGATCTTCATGTCTATATGCCTTTTCTTCTCTAGTTTTAAGACCTTTCCTACTGAAATCTTCCTCAACCTTAAAACCCAACTACTACCTCCTCCATTCCATTTTGTGAAATCCACAAAGTGGAATTCTTTTCTAAAATGATGGGAACTTAACATCTCTATAGTAAGCCCTTGGTGTCAAGAATTTTGCACTGATGTTGGAACTTGTTCTCTGCCTCTCTCCTCAATCCCCCAGTCATTCTATGACCCTATACCTTGCTTTTTTTTTTTTACTTTATAGCATTTTTCATTGATTTATATTTATTCATTTATTTGCATATTGTGTGTCTCTTCCTGCTATAAGATGCAGAAACACTGTGACTTTGTTTCATTCATAAATGTATTCCCAGAACTTTGTTTTGTTGTTGTTGTTGTTGTTGTTGTTGTTGTTGTTGTTGTTTTGAGACCAAGTCTCACTCTGAGGCACCCGGGCTGGGGTACAGTGGTGAGATCTCAGTTCACTGCAACTTCTGCCTCCCAGTTTCAAGCGATTCTTCCACCTCAGTTTCCCAAGTAGCTTGGATTATAGGTGCCCACCACCACACCCAGCTAATTTTTTTTGTGTGTGTATTTTTAGTAGAGATGGGGTTTCCCCATATTGGCCAGGCTGGTCTCGATCTCCTGACCTCAGGTGATCTGCCCACCTCAGCCTCCCAAAGTGCTGGGATTACAGGTGTGAGCCACCACACCCAGCCTATTCCCAGAACTTTGAATAGTGCCCAACGCATACTAGGAACTCAGCATATTTTGTTGACCTAATCAGGATATCCACCTTTTAGTTTTTTCATTTAATCCTCACAGCAATTTGTGAAGTAGATATTAATTTTCACACTGTTTCAGATAAAAATAGTTTTTCATCAATATGAGGAAATAAAGAATAACATAAAATTAACATATATAGGTATATATGTGATATCAATAATTAGATCCCTCTGATGCCAAAGCTCTGTTCTTATGTCATTTGTAGCCCTTGTCATACTGCCTTGTATTATGTCCTCATCTGTCATACCCACAAGGATGTGAGCTCCGTGGGAGCAAGCCTCATTCTTCTTTCAATAATCTCCCTGCCATGAAGATAGCTGCTATTCACCAAGTGTTTATTGAGTTGAAATTGAACTTTCTCGTCTCAACTCTTGGCCATACTTAGATTTGGGACTCACTTACATGGAAAATATTTGCTCACAAGAGAGTATGTAGTTTTCTACAACTAATCCAAGATAGGTGACTTCTCTCAGCCAAGTGACTGTAATACAGAACAAAGAGACAATCGTGCACCTATAGAAACAAGTGAACCTGCTGGCTGGAAAGGAATCTGAACAGAATAACAAGAGGTCATTTCACAAGAAGGGAACAGTAAAAGCATTCGTGCAGAGAGGCAGGAAGGCTTGGAAGATGCACTTGGAGATGAGGGAATAGACCCAGCTGTCTGGGAACATTGATATCCATTGGAGTGGCAGCAGATGCAGGATGCTTCTATAGTCACCAGAACAAGTGAGTTCTAAAACTCTGAACTCTCAGTAGTGTAGTTTGTGAACTGGTTTCTATATGTATTAGATTCCTATTGCTGTTATAGCAAATTACCACAAATTTAGCAGCTTAAAACAACACAGATTTATGATCTTACAGTTCTAGAGGTCAGATGTTGATATGGTTTGGATCTGCGTCCCTGGCCAAATCTCAGGTGGAATTCTAATCCCCAGTGTTGGAGACGGGGCCTGCTGGGAGGTGACTGGATCATGGGAGTGGTTTTCTCATGAATGATTTAGCACCATCTCCTTGGTGCTGTTCTCATAAGTTCACAGGAGATCTGGTTGTGTAAAGGCGTGTAGCACCTCCCTTCTCTCTCTGTCTCTCACTGGCTCCTATTCCTGCCAAGTGATGTGCTGCCCCCCACTTTGCCTTCCACCATGATTGTAAGTTTCCTGAGGCTTCCCCTGAAGATGAGCAGATGCCAGTACCACACTTCCTGTTCAGCCTGCAGAACCATGAGCCAAATAAACCTCTTTCTTTGTAAATTACCCAGTCTCAAGTATTTATTTATAGCAATATGAGAACAGACTAATACAGATGTCCAGAATTGGTCTTATAGCGCTAAATTTAAGATGCCAGCTGGGTTGTGTACCTTTTGGAGGTTCTAAGGGAAATCCTCTTCTTGCCTTTCATGGCCTATAGAGGCTGCCCACATTCCTTGGCTTGTAGCCCCCTTCTCTCTTCAAAAATTCATCAGTACAACCTCTGCTTCTATAGGTCATCACCTTTCCTTCCCCGACTGACTCTGTCACCCCCACCTCCCTCTTTTATTTATTAAGGACCACTGTGATTACACTGGATTTGTCTGAATAATCCAGGATAGTCACTTTTATCCATCAAATCGACTGGGCCACAGTGCCCAGATATTTAATCAAACATTATTCTGTCTGTTTCTGTGAAGTTGTGTCTTGAAAGAGACTAGCAATTAAATTGGTGGACTTTGAATAAGGCAGAGTGGCCTCCGTAATGTGGATAAGCCCCATCCAATTAGTTGAACCTCATAATAGAACAAAGGCTGACCTCTCCCAAGGAAGAAGGAATTTTGCCAGGGGAATGCTTTTGGATTTGAATGGCAACACTTCCGTAAGTCTCCAGCCCACTGGCCTGCCCCATCAGATTTTGGATTTATCAAGCCTCCACAACCAACTGAGCCAGTTTCTTAAAATAAATCTCTCTCTCTCTCTCTGTCCTCTGTATCTTTCTATGTATACACACACACACACACACACACACACACACACAGTTTGTTCCACTTCTTAGAGAACCCTAATTCACAGGGCAATTGCCCCATCTCAAAATCTTTAACTAAATCACACCAGCAAAGTTCCTTTTGCTGTGAAGGTAACATACTAGCTGATTCCAGGAATTCAGACATGGGTATCTTTAAAGGGCCATTATTTTGCCTACTACACTTTACAACCCTTATCAGTCCCCACTTGATCAAGTATTCATCTTGAAAAGCATTGAACCTAGCCCTGAGCAATGGCCATCCACTTGCCAAAAGAGAAGTTCCCTGAAAGATACTATTCTGAAGAATAGTGATGCTGGACTTCTAGCAAATGAACTTTAAATAAAATAATAAGTGTAATTGTATACTTTTCTTTTTCCCTAAATGGACCTTTTCTATGATACAGAATGAAAAAAGAAAAGGCCTTCTAATTTGTGGGACTCAAGTGATTTGACAAAAGCTGTATTGGGGCTTCAAGCATTTTTATTTTAATAGTGCTATTCAGAGAGGTTTGCAAGTATAATTAAATATACCACATCTCAGTTCTGTATTTTTCACACATGATGATATCTCAGAGACAAACTATTTAGAAATAGATCTAATGACAAAAAAATGAGTAGTCTAAGGAGGATGCTACAATCTGCATCACAAAATTGCACCTGTTCTATATCCCATACAATTTTGCACTTTTATTCTGAGCAGAACTATTTGAATATTTAAATAAAACATAATTGAGCATTTGGAGAGCAACTTTTGCTTCAGGTAATAGTTTTAACTGACAAGGAATCTGGAAGTTTACCCTCCTTCAATGGTGATTCTAATCCCCCCACCAACTTTTCAAATTTCTCAGTGGAAAGTGGAAAATCTCTGATCCACACCATCTGTTTACCTCATCCAGTAGTGCATTCCACTCTCTGCAACAGAAGGCTTGTGACAACCTGCCAATAAAATTCCTGAGGTTGTCAAGGCACAGGATACTTGTGAAAAAGATTCAGATAAGATTTTTCATGGTTAAATTCCTCACATACATACCCTCTCTCTCAAAGCACTACTTGGCTTCAGTAAGAGATTTCAGGTAAAACAGAAAAATGCCACACAGAGAGAGCTTTCAATGATTTATTCCATAAACAGGCAGTTTGCTGTGTTGGAATCCCTGACTCATCCAGCTGTGGGATATAAGTCTGGGCTTCCATTTGCATTCATTTAAATTGCAATTAGCTGGTGGCAGGTCATATCCAACTTAGTATATTCCATAAAGAATGGATTTCTAGGTCTGCCAGAGAACACTGTCCATGTTGAATACATAATAATCACCCTTGGTGTTGAACCCAAGCAAACAGGGTCACAAGAAAATTGTGTAAAATTCTCTGAGTTCTACAACCTTCATGATGGTTGAGAAGTTGCTTTCTAAAACAAGAGACGTTCTGTAGTAACATTGAGTAGTAATTAAAGAGCCAGACACTACACTAAGAACTTTAAATATGTTTTCTTAGTTAACTCACGCAACTACTCTGTGAATTACATTCTATTATCCGACCTACTTTTCAGATGGTGTAACCGCTCAATGGGTTCACCTTTCCCGCTGCCTAGACAGAGCTGATTTATCAATGCAGGGGAATTCTGATAGAGAAAGAGTAATTCATGCAGAGCCAGCTGTGCGTGAGACCAGAGTTTTATTATTACTCAAATCAGTCTCCTGAGCATTCCAACATGAGAGCTTTTAGGGACAACTTGGTGGGTGGGGGGACGCCAGTGACCTGGAGTGTTGATTGGTCAGGTCAGAAATGAAATCACAGGGAGTGGAAGCTGTCTTCTTGTGTTGAGTCAGTTCCTGGGTGGGGGCCACAAGATCAGATGAGCCAATCTATCAATCTGGGTGGTGCCAGCTGATCCATCAAGTGCAAGTTCTGCCAAATATCTCAAGCACTGATCTTAGAAACAGTTTAGTGAGGGTGAGAATCTTGTAGCCTCCAGCTGCGTGATTCCTAAACCATGATTTCTAATCTTGTGGCTAATTTGTTAGTCCTACATAGACAGTCTAGTCCCCAGGCCAGAAGGGGATTTGCCTTGGGAAAAGCCCATTATCATCTTTTTTTAAAATTATAAACTATAAACTAAGTTCCTCCCAAAGTTAGTTCAGCCTATGCCCAGGAATGAATAAAGACAGCTTGGAGGTTAAGAGCAAGATGGAATTAGTTAGGTCAGATCTCTTTCACTGTCTCAGTGACAACTTTGCAATGCCAGTTTCAATGGCAAAGTCGAGGCAGAAGGGTTAAGTGATTGGCCAAGAGTCACATGACTGGACTGGAGACAGGCTATAAACTCAGATAGCTTGTCTAAAGAGTCCATGTGCTCAACTAAAGGGCTTTGCAACATTTGTTCCAAGAAGGCTGTCCTTCCTTTATGAAGGAACCACTCTTGACATATCCTTGGATATCAGTGAATTTTCCAAGGAGTCATGAGAATGAATTTGCACTGATCCATCCACCCATACTCAACTAGTCTGAAGGAACATTGTTACAAGATTGGCTGAATGGGATAGAGTTTTTGGTTCCAAGAGTAAATTTATTGGCTCACTTAGAGATGAATCTGAAACTTGGGCTCATTAACATGACGCTTTAATGAAATAAACTAGTAAGCCATAGACGTTGTTACAAATAATCTCTTTGATTGCCCAAAGCCATATGCTGTGAAGGAAATAAATAATTACAAGCAGAAACATTTTTTCCTTTATGGTAAACAAGATGAAACTCTCTAGTTATATTTTCCTATTTTTTTTTTCCTGGAGCTATAAAATTCCCAATGTTGCTAAATACACTGTGTTCCCCAAATTCACATTGTATTGCTTTCAAATGGCTTTAATTCCTTCAAAATGACTGATGGTTCTATAGTTTGCTGTGAGATCAGCCCTAAAGAATAGGAGGAAGTTCTCCAAGTTGCCACAAATGTTGATCTCTCCTACATAATACAATTTTCACAAAAACCTCATGGACAGTCCTCTCAATAGCAGATCAAAACACTTGATTAAAGATAATAATACTGTAGACTGCTTCTCTAAAAAGAGCTGATGGCTTCTCATAGATAAGAAAAAACAAACAAACAAAAAGGATCATTGGTTTAGTGCCATAACCAGCTCTTTTTTTCTTATTAAAGAATGGAGCAACAATTTTCCAATGCAACCATTCTTTCAGTAAACTTTTGCCGGCCATCTTCAAGGTTCACCTCACATTTGGGAAGATGTGAACAAAGGTGTCTACATTGAAGAGGACAGAGCTCCTCTCATGGTACAAACCTGTACCATTTGGCTACTCAATATAGTTTCTGAGGAGACATTTCAAAATCCTGTGTGCACTCTGCTTGGTTTGAAAGCAAACTTCCATTTCCCTATTTCTTGTTATTTTGTTTGCGTTTTTATACATCTAGCCATCTAGCACTCACTGGCAACCTCATTTTTGTTACTGTTGGCTTAAAAACTTTCATTTTATCCAAGGTTTATTACTTCATATTTGCCTCCTGTGTTTAGCCTAAAAATGCCTTTAGTTTAGCATGTTGTCTAAATCTATTAATAATTATCGAGGTCAAAATTTTCAATCTTTATAAAGGTATAAGGAATACGTCTACAGATGAAATTATGTGAAGCAAGACTTTATGCTTTGGCTTTCATGAAACCTGCTCCTCCCCACGCAAAGAATAGCCAGGAACTTGTTCCTTTCTTCCAATTTGTTCCTATGTTCACATGGCAAGACCAGATATGGGACATTAAATGCTTTCTTAGCCATACATAAATGGCTTTCATCCTTGCAAACTGACAGTTTTATAGTAAGACTAAGTTCCAAACAACAGTGGCTTGTTCAGGCCAGGGCCAGACTCTGTGTGCCACACAGATTCACTTTGGTGAAGTGAGAGAATAACCTCAGTCCTTTTTTTATTATTATGGTGAAAAAATACAATTTTATGCTCCAGAGTTAGAAGCCTAATTTCCGAAAGGTAAAAATAGTTGCTAACATGAAGCAACTTCTTTGTGCATCAGTTTACGAGTTCTCCTTCATAGGTTCTCACTGTATATGGGTTATTTCTCCAAAGACGCAGAGAAAAACTATAAAAGACAATTCTTTATTGAATAAAACTCTTCCATTCACCTCAAAAGTGATTTCTCAGTCCCTCAGCCTGCCTTTTCTTATCAATCCCAACATCATCCCAAATGCAGAAAAGACTTGAACCTGAGTTTTTCTGACTGAAGTTTAGCATTGATTTTTTGGATATTTTATAGACTGTGTGCCAGGCATCTAGGCACGGCTAGAGGAATAATAGTGCACAGGCAAACACCAGTCATTTTCAATTTGCAAATGATCTCTTTTCCTATAAATAGATGTATGTGAAGTGTGTCACACCCCTAACTCTGTTTCATGAGGTGCTTGTGACATTTCTGGCTCCTATTACCCCACAAAGCCTTTGCTGTCATCATACTCTTATTAGTGAAATACAATCCATGAAGAGCAAATTCCCGCAACAGGAAACAATAGCAAATATGATTTAAGATTGCCTGAATCTGGGGCCAGCCACAAAGAGCTGCTGCACTGCTATTAAATGAAAGGCCAACAGCCAAGAACAAGGTCTTGAAGAGGCAGATTCACAACTAAATACTGCAAAGGGCTCAAATCAGGGAAAGTGACCAACTATGAGCAACTCTCAAAAAGAATACAAGTGGAAATGGATTTCCAGACTTACTTGATTGCATTAGTAGGAGGCTCTATTTTCTTTCAAGTGCCTGGTTTGGTACTATATGTAATCATGAGCTTTATTTGTTATTTTTGATTATTAATTGGGGAGCAAACTAAAATAGCACCTTGGAAAGCTAAATTTACCAGAAAGGAAAAGCCAATATGTCATTGTTTCAAGGAAAAAGCTGTTTTATCTTGTGTATACAGTTTCTTTTCATCTGTATTTCAAATATCAAAAATAGACTGATAAATTCCCAATACTAAAGGTAAAAGCACAATTATCAAATATATATTCATCCGTTGCCATCTATATTCTTTTGATGGTAACTGCTCCTTCCAAAAAGAGAACACAGTAAAACATAATAAATTTTGAAGTAATAAAATTGGAAGGCAATAATTTTAAAATGCTCCCTAGAAATGGCTTGTCCTCCAGGACAGAGTCCAAGTGGGCTCTAGGTGGCTGACATACATGCTACATCTGCATCTAATGAAGGCCATACTCATCTTGCAGTCAGAGAACTGGATTATTTTTTAGATTGTCCACTTTGGTATATGCTATGTGATGTCTTCAAGAGTCTTCTGCAGAGAGAATTATCATGCACACACCTTGGGTAAATTAAAAACAAACTCCGAAAACAAGCCAGCATTTGGTGTTTATCTAAGAACTCTAGTGTCCTTAGGGCTTATCTAACAACCCTAATAAGCCCCATGTTTGGCTTAAATACCTGACTACACATTTTAGTAGAGCCCAGGAGGCAAGAGTTAAAATGAACGTGTTAAGGACAAGTACTCCTGTTTGAATTAGCAAAAACTAGTTATTCAACACCTCAAATCCGAATGTGTCATTAATATTATTGATGAGCACTCAGACAAAGGACTACTAGACCAGGAAAGCAGGATTTGGGTGGGGAAAGCACTCTGTACATAGGTGGAATTACACTGATGAATAAACGACAGCACTTCAGAAAGAACACACCCAAATGCAAACTTTACATGCTATATGACTTTGCCATGGATCAGTTCTATTCACAGAATCATGTGAATGTCAATTAGTTTGCAAAAATAAAATTCCAGACTAAAATTACTTAAACAATAGGACATATATTTTCTTCCAGAACTAGAAAGCAGTAAGTAGTCAGTTCAAGAGTTAGCAAATTCCATGATTCAGTGATGCCATGAAGGATCTCTTCCCTATAGTTCCATTCTTCCCTCTTCAGGGTGTTGACAATATTTCCCCTCACAGTTTTAAAAGGGCTGCAGCAATTCCACTAACTCTTCCTGTTTTTACTGATTTAGGAGATGTTTTGTTTGTTTGAGATGGAATTTCACTCTTGTCACCCAGGCTGGAGGGCAATGGCACGATCTCGGCTCACTGCAACCTCAGCCTCCCAGGTTCAAGCAGTTCTCCATCTTCAGCCTCCTGAGTAGCTGAGATTACAGGCGGCCACCACTACATCCAGCTAATTTTTTTGTATTTTTAGTAGAGACAGGGTTTCACCATGTTGGTCAGGCTGGTCTGGAATTCCTGACCTCAGGTGATCCACCCGCCTCGGCCTCCCAAAATGCTGGGATTACAGGCATGAGCCACCGTGCCCAGCCTGATTTAGGAGATTTTTTGAATGAATGTTTCCCCATTTGGTGTAGGCTCTTAGGACAAGTTCAAGAGACTCTAAATAACTGTTTGGTTTTTTATTTTCCCCCAGTTACACGTTTTTGTGCTAGGGAAAGAGTCTACCATGTGCCTCACTCTGTCATTGTTACCTCTCAAGATTTCTTGGGCCTAGGCTTCAAAATGGTGCACCATCGCTTCTGCTATATTTTTACAAGATCGGCCTAAATTTAAGAAGCAGGAAAATAGACTCCACCTCCAGATTGGAAGAATCACAAAGTCACACTGCCAAGGGTTTAGATGCAGGGAAACTTAGATAACTGAGAACACAGTCAATTCACTAGCAGAGGAATACCTTTCTGAGACTTCCTCAGTAGATTTCTCTTCTGGTCCACCAGGCAGGATTGGATCACATGCCTGTGCTCCAGCAGCAAGAAGGACTCGGATAGGCAGAGTCTGACATTTTCAAGTTCCAAAGTGAGAAGCAGACTTTGCCAGTGTTGAGGACTAGGGAGAAAGTGGCTCTGTGGCAGGCAACCCATAGTGTCTGCCAAAATGTACAATCTTTCACCTCAATTTGAGAGGGCAGTTCAATAGTATTTAGACAAGAACAAAAGTACTGCCCAGTGTCAAATATAATTAAAATTAAATATTTATTTAATTTTTACTTATTAAAATTAAATATTTATTTAATTTTTACTTATTAAAATTAAAATTAATTTTATTAAAATTATTGTTATTTGTAATTATTTATAACGTATTTATAATTATTTATTAAAACTAAAATTAAATATTTATTCAAAAATAGGAATAAATATTCCTAGCTCATGATATATACTTTGGAAGGTTTGTGAGAAGACGCTGGATATTAAGAAAAACATTCAGAAGAAATACATTAAACCATTGGAGGCTAAGGAAAAGAACAGTGAAAGTTGCAGTCCATTTGAATACATTTTTAACAAATTGCTATCTATGTACTTGGAGTAGCCTGATCATAATATCATAAAAGTAACAATTGATATCACTATATCATTTATAGGATTTTAAAAATACATTACATATGCCAGACACTTTGTCAAGTATATTACATATGTACATATGTTACATATATAATATACATGATATATGCCAGACACTTTGTTAAGCATATTACATGTGTTAAGTATGTTATATGACCTTATGAAGTAGATTTTTTTATCTTTTAAAAATAAAAAGAAATAAACCTCATATAAGTTAGATTAATTGGGCTCAGTTAACTCAGTTAATAAATGACAAATATCCATATTCAAACCTACATCTATCAGGTTCCCTAGTGTGAAATCTTTCTACATATCATGCTTTCTCTTTTTTTTTTTTTTTTTTTTTTTTGAGATGGAGTCTCACTCTGTCGCCCAGGCTGGAGTGCAGTGGTGCCATCCCAGCTCACTGCAAGCTCCGCCTCCCAGGTTCATGCCATTCTCCTGCCTCAGCCTCCCGAGTAGCTGGGACTACAGGCGCCTGGCCACCATGCCTGGCTAAATTTTTGTATTTTTAGTAGAGACAGAGTTGCACTGCAGCCAAGATGGTCTCAATCTCCTGACCTCGTGATCCTCCCCTCTTGGTCTGCCAACGTACTGGGATTACAGGCATCAGCCACCGTGCCCAGCCATCATGCTTTCTTTACTAAGCACATAGAAGAAAAAGAAAAAAAAGGAAAACTTGGGAAAGCAGGAAGTATGACATTGCTGAGATGATAGCATGGCTGTGTGAATAACCATAAAACTTGTGACAAAAACATTGTTTGTAACAAACACTTTCCACTCGATACATCAAGAACATCTTTTCATTGTATTGAATGGTAAAAAAGTTTGATAACTACTATCAAGTTTTTTATTCTACTATATGAATATATGACTATTTTAAAATGTATTTCCAATTATAAGTTGAAGAAAGACTATTAAATGTTCAAAATCTTCCTTTTCTATTGTCTAAGCACAGAACTGGAGTGCAGGTCCCAGCTTCCCATACTGTGGAGTGGCCATGCGTTGTCTGGCCCGTGAAATGTGAGCAGAGGGATCTGTGTAACTTACAGGCTCAGCATGAAATATCACC
The DNA here is from genome assembly GCF_000001405.40 of Homo sapiens. NCBI lineage: Eukaryota > Metazoa > Chordata > Mammalia > Primates > Hominidae > Homo > Homo sapiens. The sequence continues at coordinate 116,407,382 of NC_000007.14, forward strand.
CATGTGACCTCCATATACTTTCTCATGAAGGTCAGCCAAAGACAGAGGCTCTCTTGAAGAGGACTCCTGGGACTCCAGAAATGGAGGAGACATTAAATGGTAGGAGTTTGAGTCTCTGAATAATTATACGAATGCACACTCATCAGGAACATCCATTGTGGAACTTCTGTAAGCAAAAAATATACATTTCTGAATGTTGAGTCATAAAATTTCTGGATTACTTTTTTTTTTATTATACTTTAAGTTTTAGGGTACATGTGCACATTGTGCAGGTTAGTTACATATGTATACATGTGCCATGCTGGTTTTTTAATAAAGGCAAGTACTATTGTTATTTACTCTAAATAATACATGAGCAATGCTTCAGAGGTCCTCTTTGTAGCTAAGTCTTTCTGCAAATACCTAATTATTTACTTAGAAAATATTCTTGGAAGTAGAATTTCTGGTCAAAGGGTATGAACACTTAAAGTTTTTGAAATTGCCTTCCAGAAAGCTTCTGCATTATTTAAAAACCCTACCAGCAAGTCAATGAAAATTTCCAAAACAACTCGCTTCATTAGAATTTAACCATATTTTCTAACATAGATAATTTTGTAAGGAATTTGCTAGGCTCTTGTGTCAGCAATTTTACTAATTATTTATATGTCTTTAAGTCTATGTAACATACCCATCTTTCAATTTGTTTCAAAGATCAAATGTCATGGAATATTAACAGTACATATTTAAAATATTAAAAAATATAAGGTAATACAAAAATAAATTAGATACAAATCTAATTTCATGTATGTAAATGTAACAGTTATACATAGTAACAAATTTTATTCTGCCTTGAAAAGATTATCTGCTAAAACCTTGGCCATATGATCTTTAATTAGATTGTTACTTTGCTGGGTTATCATAGCAGCATTAGTTACTTAACAATACAGATGTTTCCTTTTTGTAGTTTTTATTGGCTCAAGATGAACACAAGCTTTAGTTCAAACAAAAGTGAGAGAGTGCAATTTAAATGAGGAGGTGATAGAATATGCACTAGAAGAGAAAAGGAGATAGATGTGTCGACTGTTTGTTTTGTTTTCTTTTGAAAATTGCTGCGTCTCCACTCCTGGTTTGACACTTGGAGTCCAGAAACTTTCCAACTGTGTTGAACAGAACTTCTGTCTCCCCTTGGGAGCAGCAGCAAGCCAGGGTAGACCACAAGTACCAATGAAAATACCTCATCCTATTTATACTGGGTCACATTTCCCCATTTTTGACAGATAGAACCTTTGGAGAAGAATATTAATGACCATTGGGAGATGACACTAGTCATTTAGGGAAACACTCAATAAATAGGCAAGTGATACTTCACACAGGGACTCCCTAGATTTGCAAAATGCTTATACCCCAGAGGAAGCTTTTCCTGGAGATGTGATAATTTCTTTTTTAGGATAATAAAGCTTAATTCTGTAGAACTACCAGACAAAGCAAGACAGTCCACTAGGGAGGAGCCAAGATGGCCGAATAGAAACAGCTCCGCTCTACAGCTCCCAGCGTGAGCGACGCAGAAGACGGGTGATTTCTGCATTTCCATCTGAGGTACCGGGTTCATCTCACTAGGGAGTGCCAGACAGTGGGCACAGGTCAGTGGGTGCGCGCACCGTGCGCCAGCCGAAGCAGGGCGAGGCATTGCCTCACTCAGGAAGCACAAGGGGTCAGGGAGTTCCCTTTCCTAGTCAAAGAAAGGGGTGACAGACGGCACCTGGAAAATCGGGTCACTACCACCCGAATACCGCACTTTTCCGACAAGCTTAAAAGACGGCGCACCAGGAGGTTATATCCCGCACATGGCTCGGAGGGTCCTACGCCCGTGGAGTCTCGCTGATTGCTAGCACAGCAGTCTGAGATCAAACTGCAAGGAGGCAGCAAGGCTGGGGGAGGGGCGCCCGCCATTGCCCAGGCTTGCTTAGGTAAACAAAGCAGCCGGGAAGCTAGAACTGGGTGGAGCCCACCACAGCTCAAGGAGGCCTGCCTGCCTCTGTAGGCTCCACCTCTGGGGGCAGGGCACAGACAAACAAAAAGACAGCAGTAACCTCTGCAGACTTAAATGTCCCTGTCTGACAGCTTTGAAGAGAGCAGTGGTTCTCCCAGCACGCAGCTGGAGATCTGAGAACGGGCAGACTGCCTCCTCAAGTGGGTCCCTGACCCCTGACCCATGAGCAGCCTAACTGGGAGGCACCCCCCAGCAGGGGCAGACTGACACCTCACACAGCCCAGTACTCCAACAGACCTGCAACTGAGGGTCCTGTCTGTTAGAAGGAAAACTAACAAACAGAAAGGACATCCACACCAAAAACCCATCTGTACATCACCATCATCAAAGACCAAAAGTAGATAAAACCACAAAGATGGGGAAAAACAGAGCAGAAAAACTGGAAACTCTAAAAAGCAGAGCGCCTCACCCCCTCCAAAGGAACGCAGTTCCTCACCAGCAATGGAACAAAGCTGGATGGAGAATGACTTTGACGAGCTGAGAGAAGAAGGCTTCAGACGATCAAATTACTCTGAGCTACGGGAGGACATTCAAACCAAAGGCAAAGAAGTTGAAAACTTTGAAAAAAGTTCAGAAGAATATATAACTAGAATAGCCAATACACAGAAGTGCTTAAAGGAGCTGATGGAGCTGAAAACCAAGGCTCCAGAACTACGTGAAGAATGCAGAAGCCTCAGGAGCCAATGCGATCAACTGGAAGAAAGGGCATCAGTGATGTAAGATGAAGTGAATGAAATGAAGCGAGAAGGGAAGTTTAGAGAAAAAAGAATAAAAAGAAATGAGCAAAGCCTCCAAGAAATATGGGACTATGTGAAAAGACCAAATCTACATCTGATTGGTGTACCTGAAAGTGATGGGGAGAATGGAACCAAGTTGGAAAACACTCTGCAGGATATTATCCAGGAGAACTTCCCCAGTCTAGCAAGGCAGGCCAACATTCAGATTCAGGAAATACAGAGAACGCCACAAAGATACTCCTCGAGAAGAGCAACTCCAAGACACATAATTGTCAGATTCACCAAAGTTGAAATGAAGGAAAAAATGCTAAGGGCAGCCAGAGAGAGGTCAGGTTACCCACAAAGGGAAGCCCATCAGACTAACAGCGGATCTCTCGGCAGAAACCCTACAGGCCAGAAGAGAGTGGGGGCCAATATTCCATATTCTTAAAGAAAAGAATTTTCAACCCAGAATTTCATATCCAGCCAAACTAAGCTTCATAAGTGAAGGAGAAATAAAATACTTTACAGACAAGCAAATGCTGAGAGATTTTGTCACCACCAGACCTGCCCTAAAAGAGCTCCTGAAGGAAGCGCTAAACATGGAAAGGAACAACCAATACCAGCCGCTGCAAAATCATGCCAAAATGTAAAGACCATCAAGACTAGGAAGAAACTGCATCAACTAATGAGCAAAATAACCAGCTAACATCATAATCACAGGATCAAATTCACACATAACAGTATTAACTTTAAATGTAAATGGACTAAATGCTCCAATTAAAAGACACAGACTGGCAAATTGGATAAAAAGTCAAGACCCATCAGTGTGCTATATTCAGGAAACCCATCTCACGTGCAGAGACACACATAGTCTCAAAATAAAAGGATGGAGGAAGATCTACCAAGCAAATGGAAAACAAAAAAAGGCAGGGGTTGCAATCCTAGTCTCTGATAAAACAGACTTTAAACCAACAAAGATCAAAAGAGACAAAGAAGGCCATTACATAATGGTAAAGGGATCAAATCAACAAGAAGAGCTAACTATCCTAAATAAATATGCACCCAATACAGGAGCACCCAGATTCATAAAGCAAGTCCTGAGTGACCTACAAAGAGACTTAGACTCCCATACATTAATAATGGGAGACTTTAACACCCCACTGTCAACATTAGACAGATCAACAAGACAGAAAGTCAACAAGGATACCCAGGAATTGAACTCAGCTCTGCACCAAGCGGACCTAATAGACATCTACAGAACTCTCCACCCCAAATCAACAGAATATACATTTTTTTCAGCACCACACCACACCTATTTCAAAACTGACCACATAGTTGGAAGTAAAGTTCTCCTCAGCAAATGTAAAAGAACAGAAATTATAACAAACTGTCTCTCAGACCACAGTGCAATCAAACTAGAACTCAGGATTAAGAAACTCACTCAAAACCACTCAACTACATGGAAACTGAACAACTTGCTCCTGAATGACTACTGCGTACATAACGAAATGAAGGCAGAAATAAAGATGTTTTTTGAAACCAACGAGAACAAAGACACAACATACCAGAATCTCTGGGACGCATTCAAAGCAGTGTGTAGAGGGAAATTTATAGCACTAAATGCCCACAAGAGAAAGCAGGAAAGATCCAAAATTGACACCCTAACATCACAATTAAAAAAACTAGAAAAGCAAGAGCAAACACATTCAAAAGCTAGCAGAAGGCAAGAAATAACTAAAATCAGAGCAGAACTGAAGGAAATAGAGACACAAAAAACCCTTCAAAAAATTAATGAATCCAGGAGCTGGTTTTTTGAAAGGATCAGCAAAACTGATAAACCGCTAGCAAGACTAATAAAGAAGAAAAGAGAGAAGAATCAAATAGATGCAATAAAAAATGATAAAGGGGATATCACCACCGATCCCACAGAAATACAAACTACCATCAGAGAATACTACAAACACCTCTACGCAAATAAACTAGAAAATCTAGAAGAAATGGATAAATTCCTCGACATATACACTCTCCCAAGACTAAACCAGGAAGAAGTTGAATCTCTGAATAGACCAATAACAGGAGCTGAAATTGTGGCAATAATCAATAGCTTACCAACCAAAAAGAGTCCAGGACCAGATGGATTCACAGCCGAATTCTACCAGAGGTACAAGGAGGAACTGGTACCATTCCTTCTGAAACTATTCCAATCAATAGAAAAAGAGGGAATCCTCCCTAACTCATTTTATGAGGCCAGCATCATCCTGATACCAAAGCCAGGCAGAGACACAACAAAAAAAGAGAATTTTAGACCAATATCCTTGATGAACATTGATGGAAAAATCCTCAATAAAATACTGGCAAACCGAATCCAGCAGCACATCAAAAAGCTTATCCACCATGATCAAGTGGGCTTCATCCCTGGGATACAAGGCTGGTTCAATATACGCAAATCAATCAATGTAATCCAGCATATAAACAGAACCAAAGACAAACACCACATGATTATCTCAATAGATGCAGAAAAGGCCTTTGACAAAATTCAACAGCCCTTCATGCAAAAACTCTCAATAAATTAGGTATTGATGGGACATATCTCAAAATAATAAGAGCTATCTATGACAAACCCACAGCCAATATCATACTGAATGGGCAAAAACTGGAAGCATTCCCTTTGAAAACTGGCACAAGACAGGGATGCCCTCTCTCACCACTCCTATTCAACATAGTGTTGGAAGTTCTGGCCAGGGCAATTAGGCAGGAGAAGGAAATAAAAGGTATTCAATTAGGAAAAGAGGAAGTCAAATTGTTCCTGTTTGCAGATGACATGATTGTGTATCTAGAAAACCCCATTGTCTCAGCCCAAAATCTCCTTAAGCTGATAAGCAACTTCAGCAGTCTCAGGATACAAAATCAATGTACAAAAATCACAAGCATTCTTATACACCAACAACAGACAGAGAGCCAAATCATGAGTGAATTCCCATTCACAGTTGCTTCAAAGAGAATAAAATACCTAGGAATCCAACTTACAAGGGATGTGAAGGACCTCTTCAAGGAGAACTACAAACCACTGCTCAAGGAAATAAAAGAGGATACAAACAAATGGAAGACCATTCCATGCTCATGGGTAGGAAGAATCAATATCGTGAAAATGGCCATACTGCCCAAGGTAATTTACAGATTCAATGCCATTCCCATCAAGCTACCAATGACTTTCTTCACAGAATTGGAAAAAACTACTTTAAAGTTCATATGGAACCAAAAAAGAGCCCGCATCGCCAAGTCAATCCTAAGCCAAAAGAACAAAGCTGGAGGCATCACACTACCTGACCTCAAACTATACTACAAGGCTACAGTAACCAAAACAGCATGGCACTGGTACCAAAACAGAGATATAGATCAATGGAACAGAACAGAGCCCTCAGAAATAATGCCGCATATCTACAACTATCTGATCTTTGACAAACCTGAGAAAAACAAGCAATGGGGAAAGGATTCCCTATTTAATAAATGGTGCTGGGAAAACTGGCTAGCCATATGGAGAAAGCTGAAACTGGATCCCTTCCTTACACCTTATACAAAAATCAATTCAAGATGGATTAAAGACTTAAATGTTAGACCTAAAACCATAAAAACCCTAGAAGAAAACCTAGGCATTACCATTCAGGACATAGGCATGGGCAAGGACTTCATGTCTAAAACAACAAAAGCAATGGCAACAAAACCCAAAATTGACAAATGGGATCTAATTAAACTAAAGAGCTTCTGCACAGCAAAAGAAACTATCAGAGTGAACAGGCAACCTACAAAATGGGAGAAAATTTTCGCAACCTACTCATCTGACAAAGGGCTAATATCCAGAATCTACAATGAACTCAAACAAATTTACAAGAAAAAAACAAACAACCCCATCAAAAAGTGGGTGAAGGACATGAACAGACACTTCTCAAAAGAAGACATTTATGCACCCAAAAAACACATGAAAAAATGCTCACCATCACTGGCCATCAGAGAAATGCAAATCAAAACCACTATGAGATACCATCTCACACCAGTTAGAATGGCAATCATTAAAAAGTCAGGAAACAACAGGTGCTGGAGAGGATGTGGAGAAATAGGAACACTTTTACACTGTTGGTGGGACTGTAAACTAGTTCAACCATTGTGGAAGTCCGTGTGGTGATTCCTCAGGGATCTAGAACTAGAAATACCATTTGACCCAGCCATCCCATTACTGGGTATATACCCAAAGGACTATAAATCATGCTGCTATAAAGACACATGCACACGTATGTTTATTGCGGCATTATTCACAACAGCAAAGACTTGGAACCAACCCAAATGTCCAACAATGATAGACTGGATTAAGAAAATGTGGCACATATACACCATGGAATACTATGCAGCCATAAAAAATGATGAGTTCACGTCCTTTGTAGGGACATGGATGAAATTGGAAATAATCATTCTCAGTAAACTATCACAAGAACAAAAAACCAAACACCGCATATTCTCACTCATAGGTGGGAATTGAACAATGAGAACACATGGACACAGGAAGGGGAACATCACACTCTGGGGACTGTTATGGGGTCGGGGGAGGGGGGAGGGATAGCATTGGGAGATACACCTAATGCTAGATGACGAGTTAGTGGGTGCAGCGCACCAGCATGGCACATGTATACATATGTAACTAACCTGCACATTGTGCACATGTACCCTAAAACTTAAAGTATAACAATAATAAATTAAAAAAAAACTTACAAATAATTTTTTTCTCTCCATAAACAAAAAAAAAGACAGTCCACTAATACCACATTACAGTCTTTTTAAAGATCTCGGCTATTTTATTTTTTCTATGAATTCTAGAGTAATATAACTTAGGCATTATCTGGTTTAAAAATACATGATCTGTTTTCACCTATTATAAACGAAATGAGTTAGTATCTCATAAGGATTCTTGAAAGATACCAAGGGTCCAGAGGTCATGCGTGACATCTTCAAGGGGGCCTTCAAAGCCCCTCCAAGTCATTAGCAGCAACCAAAGCTCCAGAAGTCTCCTCCCAGACAGAGGTGCAAACAGCCTCATGGCTGGAAGTCTCATTTACCACTTTGGTGGGCTAAGGAGAAGGGGAGAAAATGCTTGCATAGAAAACTAACTCTATTTCTTGAAATGAGTGAGTCCTATTTTATCCTATTTTTTTCCTCCCCAAATCTCATGGCTATCAGCCTAATACATGAAAGTACAAGACTAAGATTATTCTGTCTAAAATAAGAAGATAACAGGCCATGTATAGTTGTATATTTTATTCAAAACCATTATACGTATATAGCATTATTGCCAAACCGCTTTAAAAATGAGTCACAGTTGGCCAGGTGCTGTGGCTCAGGCCTGAAATTCCAGCACTTTGGGAGGCCTAGCGGGGAAGGATCACCTGAGTTCAGGAGTTCAAGACCAGCCTGCCCAACATAGTGAAACCACGTCTCTACTAAAAATGAAAAAAAAAAAATACCCAGGCTTTGTGGTGCACACATGTAATCCCAGCCACTTGGGAGGCTGAGGCAGGAGAGTCGCTTGAACCCGGGAGGCGGAGGTTGCAGTGACCGGAGATTGTACCACTGCACTCCAGCTTGGGTGACAAAAACGAAACTTGATTCTTTAAAAAAAAAAAAAAAAAAGTCAAAAATGTTAAGGGTGCAGGTGTGTCCACTTTGCTGTTTCAGCTACACACAGCACACATCACACAAGGTTAAATGAACAATTCAGACTTTCCTCTGGGAAATTTTAGTTATTTTAAAGAATGTAAAGACTAAGTATTTAGTTCAGGAGGAATTCCGTTGAAGCAAATTATGTAAGAACAAATTTTTGTAGCACAATTTCCATCACATTAGAACTCTGTAGATAATTCTAGTGATACCAGTACATTCAGATCTCATATTTTAAAGACAGAGGCATATATAAGGAAATGTTAACTGAGCTTTAAAATGTTGGAAAAATTTATTAATGTTATGAGTGAAGATTAAAAAAATATGTACTTTGTCGGAATAGAAATTAACAGGGAAATATTAAACGTTATAAATGCCATTAAAAAGAATAATCACTTAAGGTGACCCATCAAGGGATGTTAATAGGGAATGATGATTGGAAAGTAGGAAAAGGAAAATTGAAGAATAAACACAAGAAAAGTTTCCTGACAGTCAAACCTTTTTCAGTCTCTAGGGAGTCCATGGAAAATCCATCAATTAGATCATACTAAGCAGTACTGTTCAGAATATTAACAAAGCTTTGTACTTCTTCTCAACTTTGCACTTTGGGAAAATATGTGTGCTGCTCTCAGTAGCAAGTTATTCAGGTTTTGGCTTGTTTTCTTTATAAACCCCTCCTTCATCAGCCGTCAATAAGAGCCAAGAAGACCTAGTTAAAGATGACAGAGAACCAAAATGTAAATGAGGAGTACCCAACTCTAACTCCCAATATAAGTAGTTATATTAATGCACTCAATTTTCTCAGAAAGGAAAACTGATGGTCCACAAGTGATTTGTAAATATTTTCCAAAATACCAATAGCAGGCTATAATTTTTATGAAAGAAACTCAAACTTCATATAAGTAATTGTTTTCATTCTATAGGATATGAGTTAGTTTCAAATTTTCATGATTAACAGAGGAATTCTCATCTCCCATTCAGATCTTAGGGACTCTTAGATATTTACAATTGAAGTCAGATTTCTTTCATGATTAAGAAAGTTAACCTTAAATGTGTTTGAGAACTAAATGAAGTAAACTAGTTGTTCTATGTTAGTATTATTTGATGTCATCTTGTTTCAGTATGAATAAGATGCCAGGTCACACTATAATTAATAATAATATTAATATTGTTTATCATTAATGGCTTCATACCTAAATGTCTCTGCTTGTTCTATAGCAACGATGGTCTCTGTCACAAATTTCATGATTTTTATTAAGACCTCAAAAGGCTGTGGCAAAGATTTGCTTACCCCGGTAAGACTTTGTGTAGACATTACAGAAGACAGATGTCCTTAATGAGTGCCATTTGTATTCAAATAGATTTGAGGCTCTACTAGATAGGCCTTCCCTGGAATATCTTCATGAACAGCTACATATCCAATGTGGTTCGGCATTCATGTGTATTCCATTCTTTTTTTTTCTCTGTACTTTCTTTTCTTAAAAATAAATGTTATTATGTATATTTAAGGCATACAACATGATGTTATGAATTAAATATAGACAGTAAACAGGTTACTGTAGTGAAGCAAATTAATGCACCCATCATGTACACATTTCATTTCCATGACCTGTTACTTTCATGGCTAATATAATCTGAGGGCTAGAAGAGAAAGTAAGCTCATCAGAATAATCTTTCCACACTTTCTTCTCCCTTTTCTGTGACCATTACCTGTTTTTCCACCCCAAATTATTACTCTATATACATTTTCTTGAATTTTTTTATGCCCCCCTCCTCATGGCATTTAAGCTACTCTGTATTTATTTCTACACCGAGCCTTTTCCTTCACTACTGCTGTTTGTAGCAAGTGTGGAGTCTGCTTTTAACTGCTGACTTTAAGTGAGAGTTTCCTTCCTTTTGATTGTGTTACTGGACTCCCTTCCACCTTCCCTGCCTGTCTTATCTCTACTGAAGATGAGACAGCATAGAGATTACCACCTCCACCACCCCCAAACACACGCGTGCATGCACACAGACACACACACACACACAGACACACACACACACACACAGAGCACACTTCCTTAGGCAGAGAGAAACACTGAGCTCTTTGTCTTTCTGCTTGTCATACAGAAAAGGGAGGGGAGGAAGGGAGATACAGAGGAAGGAACAGGCCAAGTTCTATGACTCTGTCTATCTCTGCTCAGGGCAGAGAACTTATATTTCTGAAACCAAACTTTACCCCTCCTCCTCCCGTCACACAGGATGGCAGAGTCACCTTGGCAAGCACATGTGTCCATTTGCTAAGATGCCCTGGGAAGAGACTGTATTTGTTCATGGAAAGCAGGATAAGACGCCTGAAGCAAAATAAGTCTTATCTCGCTTGGAATCAGAGTGCTACTAGGCATGATGTGGAAGCGCAGAATAGAATTGTCTTGTCTGGAAGGTATATTGGGATGTTTTCATCCATAAGAGTAAAACTCATTAGCAAAGGTTTAAGCAAATGGAGAATTCTTTTTATTACATAGTAAAAATCTGAAGCAGCTGGTAACATTGGTTCAGTAGCTCAGTGATGTCATGACTGTTGTCTAATTCATTTGTCCTTTTTCTTGAGGTCACAAAGCAGCTGACACAGCTGTAGAGCCCATGTCCTCCTTAGAACAGATAGAACAGAGGACGAGGAAAGATCCCAGCAGATATCTGCTTACTTGTCATTAGCCACAAAGCCTTTTTCAGTTGTAAAGGGGGCTGGGGAATACAAGTATCTTACATTTTCAACCTCTATAACTGAGGTTGAAAGGGAAGAAAAGGTTGAGGTTAAGTACTGGGCAAGCCAATAAACACTGTCTGCCACAAAAGGAATCCCATGCCCAGATTTATCCATTTCCTTTTCTTTTTCTTAGAAATACCTATGAAGGACATCACACCTGTTGAATAGCCCACATTTGACTAGGCTTACAAATTTTAGTATCACTGTTTACTTTCAAATTAGGAAGATCTTTCTTGATTTATAGGAATGCAAACAATTAAACAAACAAAAAACAAATAACCACATTAAAAAATTGGCAAATGACATGAACAGTCACTTCTCAAAAGAAGACATACATGCAGCCAACAAATATACGAAAAAAAATGTTCATCATCACTAATCATTAGAGAAATTCAAATCCAAACCACAGTGAGAGACCATCTCATGACAGTCACAATGGGTATTACTAAAAAGTCAAAAAACAACAGATGCTGGTGAGGTTGCAGAGAAAACGGAACACTTGTACACTGCTGATAAGAATGTAAATTAGTTCAACCAACTGCGAAAAGCAGTGTGAAGAGTTCTTAAAAAAAAAAAAAAAAAAAAATTAAAGAAGAACTACTATGAGAGCCAGCAATTCCACTACTGGGTATATACCCAAAGGAAAATAAATTATTCTACCAAAAAGACACATGCTCGTATGTTCATTGTAGCACTATTCACAACAGCAAAGGCAAGGAATCAACAAAGATGTCCATCAACGGCGGACTGGATAAAGAAAATGTGGTACACATACACCATGGAATACTAGACAGTCACAAAAAGAAAAAAACTGTGTCCTTTGCAGCAACATGGATAGAGCTAGAGGCCATTATCCTAAGTGAATGAACAAAAGAACAGAAAACCAAATGGCACATGTTCTCACTGATAAGTGAGAGCTAAACATTGAAAACACATGGACACAAAGATGAGAACAATAGACATTTGGGACTGCTTGAGAAAGGAGGATGGGAGGGGGCTGTGGGCTGGTAAGGCTACCTCTCAGGTACTATGCTGACTACCTGAGTGACAGGATCATTTGCATACCAAGCCCCAGCAACAAACAATTTACCCATGTAACAAACCTGCACATGTACCTCCAGAAGCTAAAACAAAAGTAGAAGAAACAAAAAGAATTTGAGCATGCTGTGTTTTGGGGCCTGCAGTTTTATCTTTAGATGGCTTGTTGTCTTTAGATGGCACAACCATCCTGCTGTGTACAACTCAGCTATTGTAGAGGTCACATACATGTATTCAGAATTTAAATGCTAAATTGTAGATAGGGAAACTGAATGAAAAAATAAGCCATCCTGTTCATCCTTCCATTATATTTTGTTCAACATACACAATATGACTGTCCTAATCATATCTCAGGCTCAATTTTTCCTTTCTTTTGCAATTTCAGATGGCGCCTGCAAGCCTGAACAGTTAAACCCTCTATTTGTCCTTGAGTTTTCCTCTTGCCTAAATTCTTCCTCTAGTTCCGACTCTACCCACCCAGTCTTTGATTTTTCTTACAGAACTCTTTGCTTCCCTAGTTATTCATCTCTCCCTCTCTTTTAGAGAAAGCACTTCCTCCTCTGGATACTGTGTAATCTTTATCAGGACCACACAATGTGCCTTTATGTGTGATGATAGTGGACAGATGTGATATTTCCAATGGATTCTATCTTGCTTGCTTATTTATGTATTGCTCAGACTTCAGCCTTTAGTCTGAAACAAAATAAGTTAGAACGTTCATTGCTTCTAATTTATAATGAGGTGAGTTTTCATTCATTTGAAATGATTTGCTAATTATACAAAGTTCTTAAAACCCCTTAATCAAAAACCATGGAATATACCAGAGAAGGTTAGAAATTCCAAATTGGTCTTTTAAAAATGTTTCTAAAAGCAAGGATGCAGTACTATTTAACAATAGATTGTTTTTTCAAAGAACAATTTTCATAATATTTATGCAAAAGGAACACAAGTAAATGTTCCACGGCCCATGTGTCAAAAGTTTCCAATTATATCTCTTTATCTTGAAATGGCTTATTTTATGTAACAGAGACTATTAGACCCAGAATAGTTTAAGACCTATCTGTAATTAAATCTCATTTTTGCGGAAGACAATAGAGAAGCCACAGAAGCTGAATAACCCATCCAAGGGTTCACAATTTGTGAGTGGCAAACCAGTTTCCTGATTTCCAATTCAGGGCTGTTTTTACCATCACCTCCATCTCAAGGGCTCACCCCTATGACAAGCAGCTACAGATACCATACCCAGATCTGGTGGTTCGTGTGATAAGAGGCAGAAGTGTGGCCTTTGCAGGGCTGTATCAGGAACCAAGTATTGGGTGATGGGCTAAGAACACAAAGAGGGAGTAGAAATGAGACCAGAAGTGTGGACCTGCTAAACATGGGACAGTGGGACACTAGCAGATATATTCTCTATATTCTCTGAGCCAGATCTGGATGAGAGTGGCAGGGCAAAAGTTGCAGGTTTAAAAGAAGGTAGAAATGACCACTTCCAAAGACAGATCTCCCACAGTATCAAAAAAGTAGACAGGTATTGCCTGGGGGAGGCAGGTTAGTTGTAGTTAGCACATTGTTTTACTCATAATTAACACATTGATCAATTGACCTTCAGATCATTTTAGTTAAAAAATGTGATGGGGTACAGTCATGGAAAGAAAAACATTATTTCTACAGCACCTGAGCTGAAAAACATTTTCAGGGCATTTGTACAAACAACATAGCTAACATCCACCGTAGAAGTATGCTTTCTCTGCAAGAAAATCCTTTTTAAATTTAGTCCTCTCCTTAGCTTTTCTACTTTTTTATTCATTCATCCATGTAGCCATCAGATTTAGGAACTACCTACTATATACCCAACAACTTAATCACTGTCAATATTTACAATAATGAGATGGCTGTTTTTTTTTCATGTGGTAGAGGCTTGGAAAACATGAATTCCTTCTTTAAAATGTTTGTAAATGTTTGTTCTACTAACTTGAAATAAGTAATGTGTTTGTGTTCAGAGCAAACAATTCCAATGTCTCATTTTAGGAAACAAATTAATATTATTGAATTTTAAATCAACAATAACAAAACACTCTTAAAAGAATTGGCCAGGGGAGGTGCAGTGCTCATTCTTGTAATCCCAGCACTTTGGGAGGCCTAGACGGGCTGATCACCTGAGGTCAGGAGTTCAAGACCAGCATGGCCAACATAGTGAAACCCTGTCTCTACTAAAAATACAAAAAATTATCCAGGCATGGTGGTGCACACCTGTAATCCCAGCTACTCAGGAGGCTGAGGCAGGAGAATTGCTTGAACCCGGGAGCCAGAGGTGCAGTGAGCCGAGATCGCAACACTGCACTCCAGCCTGGGCAACAGAGTGAGACTCGGTCTCAAAAAAAAAAAAAAAGAATTGGCCATGCCATGAAAAAATGGGATGCATCATTTATGTAAAATCTATTCACAAATAAGTAGAGTACTTAAATAAATGTCAGAGTTAAAATGGTGACTTAACTAATACTTTTTGTAAACTTGAGAGTAATTCCTCACCATCTTGAATGAAGATATTTTGTGTATCTTGATTATGTGGCAAGACTTGGTTGTCTTTTTCATCTGCCTGACCCTAATCCCACTCCTGATCTTCAGTAAAATAGATTAAAGAGAAAGAGACTCTGTTAGTATAATATACGTGCAAATGAAGGTGTTAATCACATTAAACATGTATCTACTCATGTAATAGTCATTCTCTGAGTAGCATCAATGCCTGGATTACTCCCCCTGCTCTCCTCCTACGTTTTTGGATCTCTCTTAAAGGAGTAGAATTATATTTTGCAGGTCCTGCATATACCTGCAGGGGACCTTAGGGTGACGTGTAAAACAGATCTTTCTCTTGTAAACATTGCTGCCCTGTAGCGTAATATAGGATTATTGTTATATGTTACTAATAAGTTTACATTCTAGTCTACCAAATGATGGGGAATGGGGATAGTATATTTTACTACAGTTAACATTCATAATTAGTTTACATACAAATTAACTGAACAAATTAAATTATATATGCAATTACAAATATATCTGGTAAAAATTCTGGTTCTTGTTTGGTCTTCCAGTGTGCTTTCAGCAAAAACTGCTAATATGCCTCAAGCCACAAGCCATATGAGGCCAAATAAAACTATTTTTTAAATACACTCCCCAGCTGATTCTAATTGCCCAATTCATTTGTGTTTCTTTCCACAAACCATTTCTGCAGCCTATCAGTAGGATTGCCTGATTGATCATTCCCAGAGATTTGGGCAGAGTGCAACTAGGATGCCTATTATCCCTGGCAACAAATAACCATGTTAAAAACAAATGTTCTCCACAGCAGATGCAGCTGTGGAGAACATACAAACTCACAGAAAGAATATGGGCAAATAAAAAAGACATTTGCAAAGAAAAAAGATTTCAAAAGCTAACATAACTCCCCCAGTGCCTGGCACATTTATAGGTACCCATGAAAAGAATATAATCACCATGTTCAAACAAGAAAGCTAAACTGAACTGTTCACATTCAACAGTGACATAGGCAGATAAGAAATGTACCATCAGCAGGGAATAAATAATGTTACCCAAAATGACACCTAAAGAGCAAAGGATCTAGAGAGGTGTCATGAAATTTTCCAAAATAAAATCTCAAACTAAATCAACTTAATTATTAAACAATGTAAATTTGAAATGGGGGTAGAGTGAAGAGGAAGAATTGAAAAATCAAACAAAGAAAACTATCAGTTGAGCTTTCCCTATGACAATGAGAGTAACTGTCAATCGATAACAATGACTATGACCGTAAGTATAACCATCAAAACATATTTAATAAGAGGATTGAAGGTGGTAGACATTTCCCATATTTATTCATTAGCATTCCATCACAGAGAAATCAGCTACCTTTTGGTATATGTGCTAGATTAGTTCAATCAATGATTATTAGCATATGTTTTAATGTCCAAAACCTAAGAGCTGTTGCTGTGCCAAAGAAATCAGGGTGTAGACAAAAGAAATGCAAGGAATCCAGCCTCACCTTTTAAAGTTTTCATGAGACACAGCTTCATGAAGAAAACACTTGTGTATTAATACAAGAAGTTTAACTCAAGAGTGTGTGGGTAGCATATCAAGCAATCAAAGGTAGCTGAGCACAGGAAATGGAAAGAAACAACATAAATGCAGAAAGAATTCAGGCATTGACTACACACCGGCCCGTGAAACTGGCTGCTCCCTTTTCTATCAGATCCTACTCGGTCTGTCATTGGATGGGCAGTTAGTAGAACCAGGGACTAGACAGGAGTTAAGCACCTTATGCATCCCCTTTTCTCTCCACCAACTGCATCTATTATCAAAATACAAACTACTCCCCACCGCCCCCAAAAAAGTGCACTTCAGTTGAAAGTAGTACTCTGGTGGCACAGAGAATGGTATTTCCAATGTCTTTTTCTCAGATTGTTTATGTATTTGCACAGAGTGTTAGCTAAGTCCCTTTATTATTTTTTGCATCACAGCTTCCCTCCATGTTTATTTCTCTGGTTTACACCAGCAGTGTAGTGTTATTTCTCCAAACAAAGGAAATGTGCCAAAGTATAATTTTATAGTGGTCTCCACTAGCCTCCTTCTTTGCCCCCTACCATTTCAGGCTGCTCAGTTCTAGTTTTCCCCACAGGGAAACTTAGTCAAGGATTTTGCATAATAGTTGGGAACTTGTCAAGGATTTTGCATAATAGTTGACATTTTGTGTGTTATGCCTGGCACTATGCTAAAGGTTTCTTATGCATTATCTTATTTGGTCAGTAAAACAACTTTATGAGATATGTTTTTCTATTATCCGCATCTCTAAGATGGGGAAATTAAAGCTTAGAGAGATTAATTCACTGACCAAAGGTGAGCAGAGCTGGATCTGAGCTAGAAGAGGCTAACTCTAAAACCCACACTCTTTTTTTTTTTTTTTTTTTTTGAGACAGAGTCTCACTCTGTCGCCCAGGCTGGAATGCAGTGGTGAGATCTCGGCTCACTGCAACCTCTGCCTCCTGGGTTCAAGTGATGCTCCTGCCTCAGCATCCCAAGTAGCTGGTACTACAGTCATACACGCCACCATGCCTGGCTAATTTTTGTATTTTTAGTAGAAGCGGGGTTTCACCATGTTGCTCAGGCTGGTCTCGAACACCTGACCTTGTGATCCACTCGACTCTGCCTCCCAAAGTGTTGGGATTACAGGTGTGAGCCACTGTGCCCAGCCTTTTTTTTTTTTTTTTTTTTTGAGAGAGAGTCTCACTCTGTCACCCAGGCTGGAGTGCAGTGTCACGATCTTCACTCTGCAACCTCCGCCTTCTAGGTTCAAGCGATTCTCCTTCCTCAACCTCCTGAGTAGCTGGGATTGCAGGTGCACACCATCATGGCCGGCTAATTTTTGTATTTTTAGTAGAGACGGGGTTTTGCCATATTGGCCAGGCTGGTCTTGAACTCCTGACCTCAGGTGATCCATCCACCTAGGCCTCCCAAAGTGCTGGGATTACAGGCATGAGCCGCCATGCCCAGCCTAAACCCCCCATTTGTAGCCACTTCAATATATCTGCTGTCTTTTAAGAAAATGTCAAATCTGTCTAAATTGCCTTTTGAAAAATGAGAAACAACAACAACAACAAAAAAAAAACGAGCAGAAGGCACATTCTCTCATCCTGACTCCCTCCCCACACAACCCACGTGGAAAAGACCTTTACTTATAATTTTATATGAAAGTGACTAATGTACCAAGCTCAGTGCACTTTAAGAGACTCTTTCACTTTTTAAAAAAAGAATTGTGAGCAAAGACTATATTCTCAACAAATACTGTCTTTCTACATCAATTAAGGGATTGCAAGTTTGCATATAGAGAAAATAGGTCTGTACTCTCATTTATGGAATTTAGTCTGGCATTTTTGAGGTAACCATTCATTAGGAACAAAGTTTTGTTTTACAGCTTTATTAAGATAGTACTGATATACAATAAATTATACATACTTAAAGTATAAAGTTTGGAAATTTTTGACATGTTTACTCTGTGAAAACATTACCTACTCAAAATAATAGACATTTCTATACTTCCTAAAGTTTTCCTTTATCTTTGTTATATTTATGTCCCACTCCCCACCCCTTCCCCAGGAACTACTGATCGGCTTTCTGAGACTGCATATTAGGTTTCATGTCACAGATGTTTATATGAATGACATCATGTAGTATATACTCTTTTCCTTCTGGCTTCTTTCACTCAGCATAAATATTTAAGATTCATCTGTGTTGCAGTATGTATCAATGGTTCACTTTTATTGTTGTATAGTATTTCATTGTGGGAATATGTCACAGTTTGTTTTATCCATCCACCAGTTGATGAATATGTGGGTTGTTTCCAGGTTTTGACTTTTAAAGTAGAGCAGCTGTAAGTTTTGGTCTGAATATGTGGTATATCTAGGAATAGAATGACTGGATCATATAGCAAGTCTATGGTCAACGATTTACAAGCTGCCAAGTTATTTTCCAAAGTGATTATTGTACATTTCCACCAACGGTGTGTGAGAAGTGTGTAGAATAACCTTGCTTTTCTCAAATTATGATCAAGAGTTAGTACCTGGCTCCTCAGGGAAAAGAAATGAAAATCCTGGATCATAGTCCCTTATGGACCTTTTGTCTTCATTAGAAAATTATGTAATAAATATATCAAGCAAGGTCTCCTGGAATGAAAATTTTATGACACCACATGAAGATAAAAAACATGTTTTGAATAAATTAAATAATTAGCTAATTGTTTTGGAGATCCTTGACTAAGACATGGAAATACCTCTTCAGAATTGCTCAGGTCTTCTGAGGATGCATCTGCATATGACACTAGGGCGAGGATGTGTGACTCAGAAATTCCACTCACTGGAAGTCAAGGCATATTTTTTTTTTTTTCTAGCTGGGCTTAAAGCCAATGTCACCATAACTTTAATGGACTCAGTGTAGCTGTGAGTTGTATTATCTCAGGAGTATAATCATAAAGATAAGTTGAAAACAGCATTCCAGGAGATTGCCAACACTCTATTATAAAGTAAATAAATACAGATGGGGCACTACACTGAAAATGTGGCATGAAGTTGCCATCCACGGCAGAGGTCAACATTTGGACCTGATAAATGAAGCCAAGTCATAGATAAGAAAAAAATATCTAGGACCAAAAGAACAAATATTTAAGAGTGGAGCCCTCAGAAAAAGAAAGAATCATCCATAGGAATAAAAGAAAAAGAAAGGTAAGGAGTCTTCTGGCATAGAAACGGCAGCATTTAGGATGAACTGTCCTCAAGACTATCTCCAATGCTGTTCCTTCTTCATGACTGAATCCCCTACACTTGCTGTCTCATCTCCCTAGGGTCAGCTGGACCTGTTGGACTTGAGGTGTCAATTTGGATGTTTAATTTTGATTTAAACTCAATTTTAGATACTTTTCTCTTTTGAGATCTTCATATTTAATCCATTATTCAAACTCGTGTAGCTAATGAAATGATGGGGGAGAATAGAAGCCTTAGTTTTACATATACGATCAGTATGATGGTGATTTTTTTTCCTGTATAAATTCTATGTAAAAGAAACCTGGTTTGAACCCCCCCCCAAATTAGAGTTACTTCCTAATGATTTTTAATGTAATCTGATTTTTTTTTCGGGCTTCTTTCTTGTGCTTGTTTTTCAGACATATGAAGGAGGGTCTTTTCATATTAAATTGTTTTCCTGGCAGCACCTGAACCAAAGGATCAGACTTAAAATAAGTCTTTTTCCAATGTTATGTTGAAATTGGATACGACATTTCTCACAAAACTTCTAAGTCAAACAGTGATGAGAAACTACTGCCTAAAAGGTACCTATTTAAGACAGAGACTATATATAGGTTTTTTAGAAGTTCTTGTTCTTCTCCCTCTGCAAAGCACCACACATATCCATGTTTCATTTATAAATAGATTTGAAAATTACTTTCGTGCACCTGCATTAACCATTTTCTGTTCTGTATGATGAAATACAGTCCTTGGGAAGATTTTTCCTGGGTCATGGTTTAAAAAAAAAGAGAATGCTGAAGACTATGACTAAAATTCCTTTGTTAAAGCCCAAAGTCAATCAAATCTATTTCCATCCTTAGCAACATGTGGTTCCATTAAAGTTAATCACTTTTCTATTTCGGTGTATAGGCATTAATTCCCTACTTTAAGGAGTTTAATAGTTGAAGAAAAAAAGTACAATTCCAGAAATAAGTACTCTCATGAACATTTGCAGAATATTTGTCTTGTCCGAGATGTTTCAGAAACAAATAAATGAAATGTAGGAAACAAGATATGGGCATGATGCACTATTTCCTTGAAAGAATGCATTGGCCATTTGTCATGTGGGGACTTAATACCTTTTATTGTATTATATTCTTCTATAAAGGTATTCTTCTAGACATCAAGCATGAGAGTTTCCAGAAGCCATTTTTTTGCTATGTTCTTTAGTTTGTGTTCTCTAATACAACTCCAAGAACCATACCGGAGAACCAAACAGAGTGGTTCTGGCCAGGGCTCACTCTTTCTCTGTTTCTCTCTCCTGTCATCTCTATTTCAACAATATCTCTTAGCTTTGCTTCTCTTTGGGTGCAGCATTATTCTCTTCTACTGCAAATAAGAAGATTCCTCCAGGTGTCCAGAAAGATGGTCACCAGTGGCCCTAGGCAAACATTATTTGAACAACAAGATGTACTCAATTAGATTATTTATTTTTGCCTACACAGTTTATACAAGTTACAGATAAAATAGTACAAAGTTGTATTTGCTATTATTTTCTCTTTCTAAAACCTTCCCTCTACCTTTAGTTGTGTTCATTTTCTTATTTCTAATATTATACTATGTACTTGTACTGTCTTTTTTATCTTGACCAATCCACAGATTCTGTATTTTACCAAAAACAATTTGTACATTTACTAAGTTTCCACTTTCTCCTACTTTTTATTCTTAACAATTCAAGTTTTTTCTTTTCCTCCTACACATTTGGTATGAATGCTTAGCGTTTTTTCCCCCAATATATTCTCTTTTCTAACAAATGCACTTAAGGCTAAAATTTTCCCTCTGCCTACAGCTTTGGCCACATTTCACATATTGTAATGTACTGTTTTCTCATTGTTCACTTATAATATTTATTATTCATTTTTATTTACTCTTTAGCCAACAGTTTTCTAAATAAGTCTTTTAAAGTTTCCATAAAAAGATATTTTAGTTGTATTTTAATTGTTAATTTTTTTATTTAATGTATTATGTTAAAAATATTTTATTATTATTATTATTATACTTTAAGTTTTAGGGTACATGTGCACAATGTGCAGGTTAGTTACATATGTATACATGTGCCATGCTGGTGTGCTGCACCCATTAACTCGTCATTTAGCATTAGGTATATCTCCTAATGCTATTCCTCCCCCCTCCCCCCACCCCACAACAGTCCCCAGAGTGTGATGTTCCCCTTCCTGTGTGTAAAAATATATATATATATAAAAAAAACAGTGGGAACAGATAGCAAAGACAGAAAAAACATTTTTTTAAAAGAAAAATATGTGTAGCATATATGACATATTCTTTAGAATTTGCTACAAATTCAAATTTCCTACCTGGTTAATTTAATTTGGAAAGTTTGAAAAATACATATATTCTCTTTTTCTTAGAGATATCTAATCAAACTTGTTCTTTTAAAAAAATTTATAGCAATTCTTATTTTTGTTTACTCAAATAATTGAATTTTGAAAAGCATAGTAATACTTTACATTCGATTGTAGTTGTTACTTGTTTCTTGTATTCTATCAATCTTTGCATTATATATTTAAAATTTAAGTTTAATGACTGTCATTATTTTGGTGGATTATGCTTCTTTTTTATCAATAATTACCCTAGGTTAAGTTAAAATATTCCTTAGATTATATTTTAACTGATAATATTGCTACACTTTATTTTGTTACTTTTTTTTTTTTTTTTTTGAGACGGAGTCTAGCTCTGTCACCCAGGCTGGAGTGCAGTGGCTTGATCTCGGCTCACTGCAACCTCTGCCTCCCGGGTTCAAGTGATTCTCCAGCCTCAGCCTCCCGGGTAGCTGGGATTACAGGCGCCCACCGCCACACCTGGCTAATTTTTGTATTTTTAGTAGAGGTGGGGTTTCACCATGTTGGCCAGGCTGCTCTCGAACTCTTGACCTCAGGTGATTCGCCTGCCTCAGCCTCCCAAAGTGCTGGGATTACAGGCGTGAGCCACCGCACCCAGCTTATTTTGTTATTCTTGATTGATAAGTATTTTGACTCTCATACATGTTTACTTTTTGACATATTTTCTTTCTTAGAATTTCTTGGTCTTATTTTATTAATATGCTATCTCTTGAGTGTTTTCAGGGATATTAATGATATATATTTTTTAAGTATTCTGTTCTCTATCAGTTCTATTTCCTCGATTTGTTTTTTCTCAGTTGTTTGGTGATCTCTTGTATGTTTGAGAATCTCTATTTTGCAATGCTGTGGTTACAGGCTTTTATTATAGGAGTTTGTGATCAGTTATAATGGAGGAAGGGTGGCCTATGCTACCAGGCCAACTGCAGAGCAGAGACTGTTAGTGACTTCCTTTTAGGGCTTGAGGGCTTCTGCTGCTCCTGGGACCTCTCTATCTCTATGTCTCTCTGACTCTCTGGTTCTCTCTCCCTCTCTCTCTCTCTGTTTTTCTCTCTCTTTCTCTCTCTCTCTCTCTCCCTGTCTCTCTCTCTCTCTCTTTCTCTCTCACTCTCTCTCTCTCTGTTTTTCTCTCTCTTTCTCTCTCTCTCTCTCCCTGTCTCTCTCTCTTTCTCTCTCACTCTCTCTCTCTGTTTCCCTCTCTCTCTCTCTTTGTCTCACCAGGTCCCAACACATATGCTTACCAACCTGCATCATGGAGGAAAAAACACTGCAAAAAAAAAAAAA
Organism: Homo sapiens; assembly: GCF_000001405.40. NCBI lineage: Eukaryota > Metazoa > Chordata > Mammalia > Primates > Hominidae > Homo > Homo sapiens. The sequence continues at coordinate 116,430,583 of NC_000007.14, forward strand.
AAAAAAAAAAAACAGAGAGAAAGAAAAAAACCACCTCCTGTTTCAGCAAACGCATGGGAAAGGAAAGGGACTTAAGTGGCTTATAACTGGCTCCACTATATTAAATACAGTTTTACAAATATGCACCTTAAAAATGTCCTCAATATAATCGGATCATGACTACATTTCTGACATGAATTCATGAATTTCACAAAATTCTTGCATTCAAAAACAGATTATTCTGAATATATATACATGTGTGCTCATATATGCATATGTTTGTATGCATATATATGTATAGGTATATATACATTTACAGTCATGTTCCACATAATAACATTCCAGGCAATGACAGATGGCATAGAAGATGATGGTCCCATAAGATTATAATAGAGCTAGAAAATTACTATTGCCTAGTAACATCATAGCTGTGGTAACGTCATCGTGCAACACATTACACACGTGGATGTGGTGATGCTGGTGTAAACAAACCTACTGTGCTGCCAGTCATATAAAAGTCTAGCACATACAATTATATAGGTAGTAATGCTTGATAATGATAATAAACTACAATGCTACCGCCTTATGTATTTACTATGCTTTTTAATCATTGTTTTAGAATGTACTCCTTCTACTTATTTATAAAAAAAGTTAACTGTAAAATAGCCTCAGGCAGGTCCTGTAGGTCCTTCAAGAGATATTCCGGAAGGCATTGTTATCACAAAAAATGACAACTCCATGCATGTTATTGCCCTGAAGACCTTCCAATAGGACAAGATGTGGAGGAGGAAGACAGTGATATTGATGATCCTGACTGTGTCTAGGCCTAGCTTAATGTGTATGCTTGTGCCTTTAACAAAAAGTTTAAAAAGTAAAAATAAAATTAAAACTTTTAGAAATAGTAAATAAGCTTTTTAGCTTATAGAATAAGGATTTACAGAGAGAAAATATTTTTGTACAGCTTTACAATGTGTTTTTTAAGCTAAGTGTTATTACAAAAGAGTAAAATCAAATTAAAAAAATTTTTTAATTTATAAAGTAAAAAAGTTACAATAAGCTAAAGTTAATTTATTATTGAAGATAAAAAACTTTTTTAGTATAGGCTAACTCTACAGAGTTTATAAAGTCTACAGTAGTATAGCCCTTTATAAGTGTATCATTTTTTATCTTTTATACCCTATTTTTATTTTACCTTTTCTCTATTTAGATACGTTTAAGGACACAAATACTTACTATTGTGTTACAGTTGCCTACAGTATTCAGCACAGTAACATGCTGTGCAGGTTTGTAGTGTAGGAGCACTAGGCTATACCACGAAGCCTAGATGTGTAGTAGGCTATAACATCTAGGTTTGTGTAAGTACATTCTATGATGTTTGCATGACAAAGTCGCCTAATGATGCATTTCTCAGAACATACCCCCACAGTGAAGCAATACATGACTGTATCCACACTCATAATTACCATCTTGCTGTCTCCTGATTATTGTTCCACATGTGCGTTGTGCATGTTTTATACAATCCTCCACAAAATTCTCAGAGATGCTGAAGTAAAACTATTTCTTCTAACAAATGAATTATCTATCATGAGCTCTCATTTTGCATACTATTTTAAAAATCTGAATTTAGTCCATTTCCATTTTCCTCCATTCAATTCACTGATTCCTTTTTAGTTAAGCCTAATTTTGTATTTATTCATGTACTCTTGTTTTAGCCCTAACCCACACTCCTGGGATCCAGAGAATGGGTGGTACTAAAAGAACTGCCACTCTGCAGTGGTCGTAGAGCAGGGAGTCTTTCAGTCTCCCTCTGTCTCCATCCTATGCGGACATCCTTTTAATGATGTCACTTGACTCGTGTGGAGCTAGATGGCATGTGTGAAGCATATGATACCCTCACAGGGCAATTGGAAGTGGCTGGGTTCTCTTTTGCCACCCACCTGGATTGCAGCAGTGCCAATCCTAACCCACTGCTGACACAGTGCACTCACTTCTCTGCTTACTACTTTCCCAGTCCCAAGACCTCTTGGCCAAACTGCCACTTCTCTCAGATGTGGATTCTCCCATTCCACTGTCCCTGTGTCATATGAGCCTCCTAACTTCCAAGATTCAAGATGAGTGGCAGGACATGAGATGACTGATTCGCATACTCCCACTTAAAGTTAGTTGTATCATGTCCTACTCACACACACACACACACACACACACACTCCAGACTCCCAATGTGAGGGAGTGGCATAACACGTGGTCCCTACAATGCTTCTAACTTACTTATTTTCTAAGCTCTCCATTCCTATGAAATCATTTTATCCAGTATGAAATTCACAAAGAGAAACTTACTGCTTCTTGGCCTTTTGCTAAAGAGCAAGTGCAGAAAGACACACATATTCTCTTTGGCAGTGGGCCTACATCAAATCGTTATGGTCTCGTACCAAGATGTCTTTTGACTGAGGAAGCTAAGAATACGGCTCCTTGTTCTCACCAGTGGACTCCTCCTCAGCAGCAGGGGCTCCCTTCCCCACTACCCATGAGGGAGATGGTGGCAGTTCAACAGGAAAATGGTAAGTTCACATCAGTTAGCATTTTGAACAAATTAATACTCCGTATGCCATCTTACCATACATTTCTTGTCTCTGCAATGAGGCTGAGCGAGACTGTCCCAAATGTGTTTTTATCCTGAGTCTGAGGCAGGCTGAACTTTAATCTGCATGATGTGCTGCAGCTTGCCATCATGTCGGGACAGCAGATCCAGTCCCTTGAGTAAGCCAGTTGGTCACAGTTCAGGAGAGGCTGAGATGATCTGTGATGAAATGATGGATGAAATGTGAAGATCCCCAGCCAATCCTTAGAGACAGGGGTGCCATCTGAGTCCTCCCACTAGGGCCAATGACAGTTGGCAGTGACATATTAAAACAATTATGTCTGTTGCATTCTGTTTTTCATTGCCTAATTCTCCACTTTGTACTGCAAAACTACATTCCTCAGGACTTGAAAGAGAGACCACAAAATGTCACACCCTAGTTCTCTAATGTTCAAAACTAAGAAACACAAAACTCAACATGTACTGGACTTCATGTTTATTCACTGAAGATGTGGAAGATAAATTCTGTCTTCTTAACATCAAAATTCAGACCACCCTGCTTAGACCTGCTAATGCTTACAGCAATATTACATTATTTGTGAAATGACTATCCAGCATTAACCTAGCTTTGGGTTGTTTCAAAAACCCAATTTCTCTAAATGCATAGTATGTGTTGTCCTAATTTTATTTGATGGAATAATCATTTGGTAAGAATAGCATTTCTCTATGCTTTGATGAAATATATTCATCCTTGAGGCAAAGAACAAGTAACTATACAGAAGGAAAAATCAAAACCCTTCTTTGTGAGAAAGCCATTCGCAACAAAGCACTGCTTGGAAATTTAAAAAGAAGGTCCAATTCTGCTTCTAAAATTATTAATTAGAAGGAAGATTAATACCTTCCATAGTAACTGGAAATAATTGAATCAATTCTGAAATATCACCTGACAATTTTTCACTGTGGTGTTAATAATGTATTATTTTCATGATGGGGAAATGACATAAGTTTTTCATGTTTTGTGCATATTTAAAATAAGAATATTCATGAACAAAGGCAGCATGCCTTGATGGATTTAGAATTAGAAGTTAGGATCCCAGAGCTTGTGCTTCAATGAACTTTTAAAACATCACTTTGTTTTATTTGTTTGTTATATTTAACTGCATGAGAGGCGTGAAATTACCTGAGAAAAAAGAGGGCAATGTCAAATATTTCAGTACTGGACTGCCATCATCTTAATGGTGATATTGGAAGGATATCAAATCACATTTGCCTTATCAAGAAATTTCTATGTACAGGAAGAAAAATAATAGCACACAATCAACTTCTGGCAATGACAGTTCTCACTTTGATATGCCATAGAAGGTCACCAAAGCCAAAATAAACATCAAACTTTCCAACAAACACCTGAATTATTTCAAATACAGCAAAGCCTCTATGCCATACTAACTCGGTACCTGGCCCAGAGAAAGCACTCAGTAACTTTTTGTTTGAAACAATAAAAGAAAATGCTCAGTGGTCAATGTATTGTTTCAGATTGGTGCATTGATAAATGATAACTCAGAAAGTATTCGTTGGGTACCATGTGCCTAGGCTGAGGTATTACAAAGACAAATCGCATCTCTTTCTTCATGAAAGAGGCATGTAAAAAATTACAAGCCAATGTGTTAAGTACAGAAATAGAGTCACATAAAATTTTATGGGAATATAATAAAGACAAGTATTAATAACTCTGCCTAACAGTCTTACAGAAGTAGCCACAGAGTGACTAATGTATGAGCTGGTTCTTGAGGCATGAATAGGATTTAGGTAGGTGGAGAAGAGTAGAAGAGGATATCCCAGAAATAAGGATCAGAATGTACAAAGGCATGACATTAAAACAAAAAATCCTGTTTACCACACAGGGAGAAAGAAGTTCAGTATGGCAAGTTCAGGAGTGTATGTGTGAAGTGTCCCAAGATGTGGTTGGGAAGTTTAAGACAAGACCATCTTGTGAAAGCATTTTTAAGACATTCTAAGAATTTTGAATATTTTCCTGTAGGTATCAGGAAGTTATTAAAGTTATGTAAGCAGAAATACCATATAATTGAATTTGAGTTTTATAAAATTTGCTCTGTCGGCAGGAAGTAAGAAGTCTCAGTTTAGGGAGGGAGGGGCAGAATTAGGAGAAAAACTCTCAGGAAAGAAATTCTATTCATAAGCATGGAATGTTTTCCATTCATTTTGTCATCTCTGATTTTTTTCAATAATTTTTTCTTTTTTTCTTTTTCTTTTTTTTTCAATTGGAGTCTCACTCTGTCACCCAGGCTGCAGTGCAGTGGCACGATCTCAGCTCACTGCAACCTCCACCTCCCAGGTTCAAGCAATTCTGCTGCTTCAGCCTCCCGAGTAGCTGGAATTACAGGCATGTGCCACCACATCCTGCTAATTTTTGTATTTTTTGGTAGAGATGGAGTTTCACCATGTTGGCCAGGCTGGTTTCAAACTCCTGACCTCAGGCAATCTGCCCGCCTTGGCCTCCTAAAGTGTTGGGATTACAGGTGCAAGCCATCGTGCCTGGCCAGTAATGTTTTGTAATTCTTATTGTAGAGATCTTTAACCTCCCTGTTAGCTGTATTTCTAGATATTTTATTCTTTTTGTGACTATTGTGAATAGGAAGAATCAAAATCATTAAAATGCCCAAAGCAATTTATAGATTCAATGCTATTCCTATTAAACTACCAGTGACATTGTTTACAGAATTAGAAGGAAACATTCTAATATTCATTTGGAACCAAAAAAGAGCCTGAATAGCCAAAGCAATCCTAAGTAAAAAGAAAAAAACTGGAGGCATCACACTACCAAACTTCAAACTATACTACAGGGATATAGTAACTAAAACAGCATGGTACTGGTTCAAAAACACATAGACCAATGGAGCAGGTTAGATAACCCAGAAATAAAGCCTCACACATACAACCATCTGATTCTCAAAAAAGCTGACAAAAACAAGAAATGTGGAAAGGACTCCTTAAATGTAAAACCTAAAACTATAAAAACCCTAGAAATACCATTCTGGATATTGACCCAGGCTAAGATTTCATGAAAAAGGCTCCAAAATAATTGCAACAAAAACAAAAATTGACTACTGGGACCTAATTAAACTAAACAGTTTCTGCACAGCAAAATAAACTATCAACAGAGTAAATAGATACCCTAGAAAATGGGAGAAAATATTTGTGAACTATGCACCTGACAAAGGTCTAATATCCCGAATCTATAAGAAACTCAAGTCAACAACCAAAAACCTAACAACCCCATTGACAAGTGGGCAACGAAGAACAGGCACTTCTCAAAAGACACAGACACGGCCAACAAGCGTATAAAAAAATGCTCAATATAACCAATTATTAGGGAAATGCAAATCAAAACCACAATGAGATACTATCTCACACCAGTCAGAATGGCTATTATTAAAAAGTCAAAAAATAACAGATGCTGCCAAGATTGTGGAGAAAAGAGAATGCTTATACACTGCTGGTGGGAATGTAAATACGTTTAGCCACTGTGGAAAGCATTTGGAGATTTCTCAGAGAATTTAAAACAGAATTACCATTCAACCCAGCAATCCCACTACTGGGTATATACCCAGAGGAAAATAAATTTTGCTACCAAAAAGACACATGCACTTGTACATCCATCACAACACTATTCACAAGAGCAAAGACATTAAATCAACCAAGATGCCCATCAACAGTGGACTGGATAAAGAAAATGTGATACACACACACACACACACACACACACACACACACATATATATACACACACACACATATATATATATATACACATATATATATATATATATATACATACATACTGTGGAATACTACGTAGCTATAAAATACATGAGATCATGGTCTTTGCAGCAATATGGATGGAGCTGGAGGTCATTATCCTATGTGAATTAATATGGAAACAGAAAACCAAATACCTCATGATCTCACTTATAAGTGGGAGCTACACATTAAGTACACATGGACACAAAGAAGGGAATAATAGACACTGGGGTCTGTTTGAGGGTGGAGGGTGGAAGGAGGGTGAAGATTGAAAAAACTACCAATCAGGTATTATGCTGATTACCTGGGTGACAAAACTATCTGTACACCAAACCTCTTTGACATGCAATTTACCCATGTAACAAACTTGCACATGTAACCCTTGAATGTAAAATTAAAGTTGGAAAGAAAAAAGAAAGAAAGGAATCCTAAGAACCCATGGAGAATTCAAATACAACAAAGACTGACAAATAATCACCTCTCTATCCCCAAGTGCTTGGCCCTCAATAATTCAGGGCTTATTAAATAAATGAACAGATGAATTAATGTCTATTGGAGTTAACTTTGAGATCAGGATTAAACGTGGCATACGCGATTTTAGTGAAACAGATAACTGAGATTGCAATGGGCTAATTAGCCGACATTCTGCAATACGTCCTAGTCATTTTTCAGAAAAATTTTCAATCACATTAAGTTACATATGGACTCAGAATGGAATTAAAAATTAAATCTAGAGTAGTAAGCCATGCTGCAGACCATTTTACATTGTAGTTTATTATACTGTTTTTATAATTATGAAGTATTAATATATGCCAGATAATTATCAGTTCTATTTTCAAATAATTTTCTCTTTCACAATTAATGAAAATATTCCAATTTCTTAGTAGTCTTATTGTTTTCCCTGAAGAGTTCCAATAAGACATGGTTTTAAAAGGTACTTTAAAGAGATTGTTAGAATATGATTTTGAAGTTTATGGCTCAAAGATAAACTGATTTCTAACCAAATTTGTGATGAGTACAGTGAGCATTGGAGTTCCCGGCCTACCACCTTCTCTGCCATCTCTTGGTAACAATCACCCTCCGTTTTCTTGTTCACATGTCCCATGAAGAGCTCATATGCCTCAGGGAAAGCTGACTCCAATCACTGGATCTACAAGGGACGCAGGCAGCTCAGGCATAAACAGATCTGCACAAGCACATTCATTGGCCATTGGTAGGGTATATGGCCAAATTTTTAGTGTATATGACTTCTGTGAGACAGGAGGAGATATTTGTAGGCACTCCTTTGAAACAAGCTTTCTCCTCTGGGGAACAACTGAAGACACCATTTCTTCCACTGGATGGTGACACCTGGAGCAATACAGCCGACTTCCTACCAGATTCTCCATCCAACTGAGGATGAGGCAGACATCTGGAGAAAGAGGGGGCTGTGGGAGGTTGAGCCCAGCTCAACTAGGATTTATTGGCCTTCCTATAAATTCCAGCATTTCCACTAGGTGGAAGTGGTTGACATAGAAAACGGCTAAAGATATCACAAAAGTACAGCTAAGATGGAGATTAAGAGAAAGGACTTTGGAACCACACAGCCTGGGCCAACTCCCAGTTCCACACCCCTCTACCTATGTGATCATAGGGAGTCATTTAGATTTGTGCCTTGGTGTCATCTCTGCAAAATAGGGATAATAATGTTTATATCACAATACTATGAGTTAGTAACAATGAATTTTTTTAAATGGATTAATAGCATAAAGTGCCCAGAACAGTGTCCAGCACATTGTCAATCCCCCAATAAGAGGCAGCCTTTCTCAAGGTCCTTTTAGTCCTGAAGAGTCTATCTGTCAATCAATTATTTATAATTATGTTATGTAAAGCCTATGATACAATATTTCCACTTGCAAATTTCAGTACAAACTTCATAGCCAGGTTAACTCTTAAGATCAAGAATTGACTGCCAGTAGATCTAGAACTGAACCTAGAACTTCTGAACCACTTGGTCAATTCACCAAATATTAAATCCCTCTTATATGAAAGATATTGGATGTATAGATTCATTTAATAACAACTGCAGTGAGCCAGATAGTATTCTAAAGCTTTTAGTTTACAGAAGTAAACAGAAGACACCCAATCTCTACCCTCATGACATCCTTATTAGAGTGGCCATCTGAGTTCCATAACTAAGTCACATCCCCTCCCATTAAAATGTTCAGCAGTCCCATACAGGAAGAAATGTACAACTAGCTGACACTGTGATAAGTGTTATCATACCGTGAAACATCTGGTAGATGGGAGCAATAAAACAAGGAGAGGTTAAAGATGTGTTCCAGGAAGATATGGAGTTTGTCAGGCATGTTGGTATTAGGTAGAGGGGAATAAATGGCTCTCAATGAAGAGAAGAGGGATTGTGACAGGTGTAGTGGCAGAGGTGTGACCAGGATGGAAGACTGATTCAGAAAACACAAGGTGTCCCAGCACAGCCCTGCCTGTGCACAAAGTCACAGGGACTGGCAGAGCTCAGATCCTGGAAGACCACATAAGCCATGTTAAATTCAGACCTGCCATGATAGATACTGTGGAAGAGATTTTTGTCAAATAAGTGTTGGTCCCACAGGGTAGCAGAAGAAACTTGAGAGGCTTGGGTGTCTCCTCACAGGGAGCAATGGATAAAGGAAGCATGTATTAAAGAGTGTGAAATGTATCCCAAAGCAAATTTCCATTACCGATTTTCTGTTAACTGATTCAGATCACTAGAAACATCTAATTTATTTTTTAGACAGTTCCAAAAGATAAGAAAAAGCAAAACACTGAACTAACACCAGAATCTGTTGATGCATTTTGATCCTGAAACAGGATTCCATATTAAAGTCAGCTAGCACGTTTATGTTAATTTTGTTTAAATCAAACACTACTTCTTATGTGGCTATAGCAAATAATGCTTAGAGTCCTAGGAAATTACATTAGCTTCATATCTAGACATTTTGGCTGGAACTAAAATATCAAGTGTTGTTTATACATGAAATCATGTAATCTTAGAGTTGGAAGACCTTAAAGGTCATGTAGTACAATGTTCAGACCAACGCATGAGGCCACACTCTCCACAATGTCCTGCTTCTTTTAAAAGTCTTTCTATTTATTCATCCAGTGAATATTTGTAGATTACCAACAATGCACAGGGTGCTGGAGATACATGATACGTGATATGTTCTCTGTCTTCATGAAACTTACTTTAAAAAATTGATAGATGACTAGCAATTTAGACTGCTGTTTCTCTCCTACCACCGCCGACCCCCTTTCCTTAACATCAAAAAATACAAACCAACCTACTAGCCAAATATGTCAAAATATGTCTTGGAACAATGTCCACTGGCCTTCTGGGAGTAGCATGAATTCTATTCATAGCCTAGTCTATTCCCCATGACCTCAGCCACTTCTCAATGTTCAGCCCTTATCTCTCCCTGACTCTCTCTCTTATGATTTTTTAAAACTCACTGCACCTACCAGAAATAATAATAATGATTAAAGGGCCTCTACTCATAAATTCAAATGCCTAGTTGTTTTAGTAATACTAGCTTACACTTACATAGTACTTTCCATGAACCAGGCACTTTCTGAAGCACTTGATATGTGTTCACTCCTTGAATTTTCATAAAAACATTGTGAAGTAGGCACTCATTTTAGTCTTCATTTTACAAATGAATATACTGAGGCATGTAAAATCAAACGCCATACTTGTCAAAGGTAAGCTAGAATTGCATTGTGACACTATTAGTTAAAGAGTAATTAAGAGTAATGCAATGAAATCCTGTAAGAATCTTAGTATCTTATAGTGTCTAAATAAATATGTAAATAAATGCAGTTTTGTGTAATCACAAATTGTGGTACACTTTTTAGATGCTCGAGACTGATTTTTGTTTTGGATAAATCCAGGTCTGCATTGCCCAATATGGAAGCCACTAGCCATACATGACATACAAATCTTAATTAATTAAAAATTAATAAATTTAAAATTCAGTTCCTCTGTCAAATTAGCTACATTATAGAATGTGCAATAGCCAATAGCCACATGTGGCTAGTGGCTAGAGTATTGGGCAGCACAAATACTGAATGTCTCTATCATCACAGAAAGTTCTGTTGGACAACACTGATCTAGATGGTGATGAAAATGGCAAAAACCCTATCTATGAGAGAGAATGATGTATTGAAGGCCAGACTGAAGCCCTTGGGTTAGCTCCTGCCCTCCTTGACTCATGAGCAAAATGGATTAGGCAAATGCTTTATTTTCTTGTTCTTCCTCCTTTTTTATCACACAAATATCAAAAATTCATCATTAGCAAAATTGAAAATGCAAAGAAGTAAAATGAAAAACAAGTCATAAATTCTCCTAAGTTAGGTGATGCTACTTTGAAGTAGAAATCCACTTCTAAATAGAAGGTAATTAGTGATTAATTTTTGTTTAATTTTTCCTCTGAGTCTTTCAATAGCTAATAATGGACCTACTGTGATCTCACAATAATCTACTACATTTTACATATTAATATGCTTACTCAATAAGTAATTACCAAGAATTTCTTTAAATTAAAAAAAGAAAACTGAATTAACAGAAACAGGTACTCTACCCAGAGGGGAGAAGCGTAACACTTTAGTGTAGACTAACTCATTTCAACTATTAGGAAACCCAGGGAATCCCATCCTTTTACAAAAATATTTTCATACTCCCTTTAAAGAGCAGAGTGGGAAAATGTTGAGGAAATGAGGCCTTCCTGTTTCTGCCACATGTGTTTAATTATCCAGCTGCAGCTCCAAAATAAGTAAGATCGGAAAATTCTTTCAGATCTCCGTGTAGCTGAATATCAAAGGAAATTTGGGTGATTCTAAAACTATTGTACTTCTGGTTCGTGTTGGAATTATGAGAGTTCTCCTGTTTTTGTCTCTAAATATAGAGTTCAGTGATTTGAACCTATGGAATCTCCCTGCAGTCTTTTTTCTTTTATATGACGACTATATAATAAGTGAAGAGCATTTTGAAGAGGGCAAGTTCACTTTTTTTAGTTGAGGCCAAAGGCCACAGTAAAATCTTTGTTCTTTTACTTTTATTTCTAACTATGCCTAATTTTTTTAGTATTCTCTGAAATTTTATTAAATTCTTTTTATAAATATCTTTCTGGATCTTTTAAAACTTTTTTTCTTCAACATCTAAGAAAAAACATGTCACAATAATATTGTGATGCTTGCCTTTGCTGGGCAAAATATGTTTTTCAGACGTTAATCTTTATTACAAATATAGATCTGAAGGAGCTTTAGGCAGTCAGTTCAGTCTAACCTGTTTCCAAACAGGTCTGATGAAGCCTGAGCTGGTGATGCCACCAAGGCAGATTTTATGATAGGGAGAAAGTGCAATATTTGAAGGGTAGAAAACAGCAAGAAAGTGATTCTGTGCGCTGAGCTTCAGGACTCTGACCACTATGCTTCCTCACGGATGGGTCACTTCTTTTTTTCTTTTTTTTTTTTTTTTTGAGACGGAGTCTCGCTCTGTCGCCCAGGCCGGAGTGCAGTGGCGCGATCTCGGCTCACTGCAAGCTCCGCCTCCAGGGTTCACGCCATTCCCCTGCCTCAGCCTCCGGAGTAGCTGGGACTACAGGCGGCCGCCATCATGCCCAGCTATTTTTTAGCAGAGACTGGCTTTCACCGTGTTAGCCAGGATGGTCTCTATCTCCTGACCTCGCGATCCGCCCGCCTCGGCCTTCCAGAGTGCTGGGATTACAGGCGTGAGCCATCGCACCCGGCCCGGATGGGTCACTTCTTTAGGAAAGAAAACCTCTACTCCACTGTTAAATGTAAGAGCTCAGAAACCATTGAAATACTTTTTATATAATGTTAAGGAGTACAAGAAAGTGTAATGGTAGAGGAACAGTCAATGCAAAAAGTAAAATCAATACATGCCAATAAAAAATGTGAAACCTTCTAAAGGAAAGAATATATACATTTGCCCAAGAAATTCTTCTATTTAGAATAAACAATTTTAAAACATGGATATGCATATTTAGTATGAGACATTAACATGTAAATTATCTTTAAATAGTTTTTTATTATATTGTTAAAAGAGTAAAGAATGTGTGTTGGGGTCCTAGGTGTGGAAAGTGATGCTGAGCCAGAATTAGGAAGATACTCTGTTATTGAGAAGCTGGGAATTTGAAAGGAAGTTTGGTATCTGAGAGAGGTGAAGGAGGGAGGGGGCATAAACATTTTTCCACAAACACTCCCAGATCAGGAATTTGTGTGACTAAGGCATGATGCATAACTGAAATCTAAAAAGGTGTGACTAATGCCTGTGTAATTTTTTGTGGTGCATTTCTGTTCATGAAAGTAAAACAATGCCTTTTCCAAGTTTTAGTATTTGGAAAGCTTCCCATAGGGAGTATCAAAAATACATATTCTTCCACTACCTTTACTCTTCCACAATTAATTCTGGCTTCACTCCTCACCTATTGTGGGACTGTGAACCAGTGACCTAGCTTCTCCATGTTGCTTTTCCCACGTGTAAAATTGAGATATTAATAGTACATATGACATAAAGTTGTTATAAGTTGTTATAAATGAGGTAAAGATTAAATAAAATACTAATTGAATCTAAAACATAAAGTTGTTATAAAGATTAAGTGAGATAGTGCAAATAAAGTGCTTAGCACAGCGCCTGGAACATAGTGAAGTCTGCAATAAGTGGAAGTCATTCAAACTATTAGGGTCTTTAAAACCACAGGGATATTTCACAGGAACAAAGCAGTGATCTATATAGTATGTCATATGAATGGGAAAAATAGCCAATGTGACAAAAGAAGATACACATCAGTGTCTGTTGAATTAAGGCTCTGGTTGGTGATAATTCTATACCTGTGGATTTCCGAAGACCAGCTGAACAAACACAATTCCCAATAAATATACTTGTCTGCCTTACGAGGCAGCATTCTGTCGAACTGTGCTATCCAATAGAGCTTTCTCTGATGATGGAAATATTCTATTACTCTCTACCCAGTACAGTAGCCTCTTGCCACATGTCATAACTGAGTACTTGGAATATGGTTAGTATAACTGAGGGACTGAACTTTTATTTTAAATTTAGATAGCCATATGTGGCTGTGGCTGCCATTTTGGACAGCACAGCTATAGAAAGATACAAATAAACAGCATACATAAGTCATAAGTCATATATTTAAAACAACTTCTCTTTTCCTCACTCTACATTATGCCAAAGCCAAAAGACAAGTTTAAGTACCTTGCATCATCCTTTTATTATGGCACACTAGAATACTCAGCGTAGGTATATGCTGAAGGGGCAAAGAGCAAGGACATTCCAGTAGCATAGCACATCTAGAACCCAGATCTCAGTTTCAAAGTACCATTATTCACTAAGAGTACACATGAATTTTTGGAGACGTGGCTGATTCCGAGTTGGAGATGAAGAATACAAAGTCAAAAAACAAAAACAAAACAAAACATGATGCAGTTACACAAAGAAATTTCAATATTTGTTTGCATTTTTGAAAGATATTAAAGGTTGTCCAATCGTTGCCTACAGCAACACTTCTTAAAATTCCATTTATCCCATTCCTTTCCATATCTCCCGCACCCTGCATCTGTCTTAAATATCAGACTCTCCCCCTTTTCCTCTCAATTCCCACTAAATTCAGTCTCCAAACAAAATTTGTATAGCTCCTCACCTCTCTCCATTCTTTTGCTTTCTCCTCAAGTCTTTCTTTTTTCCCCCTTGAATAAATCTTTCTAGTGCAGATACCCCTTCCTTGCTTCTCCTTTCCCCATTCTCTGATTTTATGGCACAGAAAGCAAGGAACCAAGATGGCAGATTCAACATATCTCTTAGAAATTACAAAGACCAAGCTAACAAATTCAGATTTCTCTTATAGACGTGGTCAGAGGGAGAAAGTATGGAAGTACTTGTAACTTAATTTTTTCTTTCTACTTATTTTTGAGTCCTAAGCACATGTATTATATACTATTTTCTGAGACCCTTTCTAATGTCATCTAACCAAGTTTCTGAAAGCACCACACACAGTTAATCCTATACATGCAATTATTTGTTGACTATATAATATTATAAGTAAAATTACTTCCTGCCAAAAATATATCCTCATTTCAGATAGCAAGTTCCCTGTTAGAATGAGGTATGTATTTCCTTTCCAAGCATTATTATACAAAAATAGAAATACACCTAGAGGAATAACACATTAAACAACTATCAAACGTTAACATTCAACATATCTGTTTCTGCCCTGGCAGGTTCCTGGCATCAGACAATGCCTGGAATGGAACTATTCCTAAAAGTGGAAGGGCTGATGGCATTGTACCATCGTAGGTACAATGCACGCCATGGGGTGTAGCTGGGAAGGGTGTGTTTGGGGTGGAAGCAAAAATCATAAGGTCACCCGAATGCTAGTTGAGGGGTAAGACACACGAAGAGTAAGCAAGATGCCCCCAAAATTCCATTTCACGGTATTGCCTCTAGTCGTCCTTATCCATTCATCAAATAATTAAGGTATGAACAATATATAATTAAATAATTTTGGCAAAAGGTGAGTTTCTGTTATTATACAAAGGCTTAACTAATAATGTGAGTCTTAAGGTTTCATACTATGAAATGCTAGAAAACATAACAGACGTTCTCACACCTTTCTCAGTTTCTATCTTGGTGCCTCTATTAATACACGAAAATAATGTGCTTCCCCTTTACAGCCATGAAAATCATATTGAAAATGATGCATACTAAACAAAAAGATACTGTGTCCTTGAAGAATCAGGCCATAAACAAGACTTCTTTTGGCATTCACTAGAAAAATCTCAAACTCATGAGGACCTTTTTCCAAGGCCATCTTTTAAGTAACGCAAATTTGGAAATACATGAGAGGAAATAATTTGTTAACCAGCTGTCTTTCTTAAACATCTCATTAAACAAATTAATCCATACCAAAGGGGCTACCATACAAGGTCATAAATGAAACAAGTCTTGCATATTTGTCACTAGGGCAAAAGATACAAAAGAGATAAAATTCTGGGAACAAACTATGCTGTTTAAACTCTCACAAACACTTTCTAATTAAAATTTGGAATAGAACGGAAATCAACAGTACTCAGTCATTTCTTTACATCAACTATATTTAGAATAGGACAAATAATGAAAGATTTAATAATGTTCATATGGAATGCA